>NC_000005.10:180876476-181026922 GCF_000001405.40 Homo sapiens
TACACCAATATAGGGCATTTACCATAAATGGAGCTGTGGCTACTGGCTGGTACAGTATTAGGTGTACCTGAAGTATTTGCTGATGCCTGCCTCTCTGCCTCTGAGGTTTTTCTGGAACAAACGCCACTGTAGTCAGCTGGCAGTGATGAAGCCCAGACATTCAGTAAATTTTAAAGGGGTATGGGATCTTGCCTGCCACTGGAGCAGGTCAGGAGGCTCAAACTATGGCTACTGACCTGGATTAAGAGGCTTTGGGGGTAAGCCTCATGCTTGGTTTTATTGTTGGGGGCCAAATGTTAGGGAACAAGGCAGAATCCTATGTTCACTTCCATCTCTCCTCCAAGTGGATGGTATCTCTCTCTGTGCTATGATACCTGCAGTTGGGGGAGAAGTGATTCAGGTAATTAAAACTGTCCTTTCTACCCTCTCCAATGCATCTTTTCTTATTATGTTACAACCATATACTCTGATCTCTCACCTGGTCTCCTTAGCTCTCATGAAGGTATTTATGTATGTTGCTAGTCATTCTATGTGATGTTTCTGCAGTGAGACAACAGCTAAAGAGTTCTCTTCTGCCATCTTGCTCTGTCCTTCATCCTACTCTATGTTTCTTCAAAGATAAATTATGTGTATTTGAGGTTTACAACATGGCATTATGGGATGCATATAGATAGTAAAGTGGTACTCCAGTGAAGCAGATTAACATATTTATCATTTCAGATAGTTACTTTGTATTTTTGTAATAAGAGGAGCTAAAATATGCTTATTTAACAAGAATTCCTAATACAATACAATTTAACTACTTGACTTCTTATATTGTACATTAGACCTCTAGATATTGATTCTACATATCGCCTACTTTTTATCCTTTGATCTACATCTCCGCATTTCCTTCGCCTCCCTCAGCCATGATAACCAGTTGGTTCTCTTTTTCTGTGTTTTTGAGATTAAATAAGATCATGTAATGTTTTTCTTTTTTTAATTTTTAATGGATTTTATTGGTGACGCTAGTGACTTGCTAATTAGCATGATGAATACTGGAAATTGGCTCTTTTTTTGAATAGAGTCACACTCTGTTGCTCAGGCTGGAGTGTGGTGGCATGATCACAGCTCATTGTAACAAACTGGGTTCAAACAATCCTCCTGCCTCCTCTTCCTGAGTAGCTATGACTACATGATGTTATGGGACTACAGGCATGTGCCACTGCACCTGGCTAATTAAAAAAAATTTTTTTTTTCTAGAGACAGGGTCTTGCTATATTGCCCAGGCTGGTCTTGAACTCCTGGCCTCAAGCAGTTCTCTTGCATCAGACTCCCAAAGTCCTGGAACTACAGGCCTGAGCCCCTGCACCCAGTCACATTTTCCTTTCTGTGTCTGGATTATTCAGTTAGCGTAATGTCCTCCAGGTCCATACATGTTGTAACAAGTGGCAGGATCTTCTTTTCTAAGGTGGAAAAATATTCCATTATGTACATATATCATATTTATGTACTTGTCTTTCTATGGCATTTACATTGTTTCTATATTTTGACTTTTGTGAATAATGCTGCAATAAACATAAGAGTGCAAATATCTTTACAAGGTGGTAAAGAAGAGGGACTGCTGGGTGATATGGTGTATTAATCCATTCTCACGCTGCTAATAAAGACATAGCCGAGACTGGGTAATTTATAAAGGAAAGAGGTTTAATTGACTCGTAGTTCCACAGGGCTGGGGAGGCCTCAGGAAACTTACAATCATGGCAGAAGGGGAAGCAAACACATCCTTCTTTACATGGCGGCAGCAAGGAGAAGTGCCAAGCAAAAGGGGGAAAAGCCCCTTTATAAAACCATCAGATCTTGTGAAAATTTACTTACTATCAGGAAAACAGCAGCATGGGGGTAACCACTCCCATGATTCAATTACCTCCCACCAGGTCCCTACCACGACATGTGGGGATTACAGGAACTACAGTTCAAGATAAGATTTGGGTGGGGACATAGCCAAACCATATCATATGGCATTTCCATTTTTAATTTTTTAGGAAACTTTATTTATTTATTTATTTAGATAGGATCTCATTCTGTCACCCAGGCTGGAGTGCAGTGGCATGATTTCAGCTCACTGCAACCTCTGCCTCCCAGGCTCAAACGATCCTCCCACCTCAGCCTCCCAAGTAGCTGGGACCACAGGCATGCACCACCACACCCAGCTAATTTTCTGTATTTTTGGTAGAGATGGGGTTTTGCCATGTTGCCCAGGCTGGTCTCTAACTCCTGAGCTCAAGTGATCCACCTGCCTCGGCTTCCCAAAGTGCCAGGATTACAGGTGTGAGCCACTGTGCCCAGCCAGGAACCTTTATAATGTTTTCCATAATGGCTGTATCAACCTACACTCCCACCAAATATTGTGCAGGGGTTCCCTGTTCTCCATACCCTTGCCAACATTTGTTATCTTTTGTCCTTTAGGTCCTAGCTATTCTAATATGGGTGAGGTGATATCTCGTAGTGGTTCTGATTTGCATTTGCCTTATGATTAGCGATGTTGATCACATTTTTATATACCTGTTGGCCATTTTTGTGTGGCTTCTTTGGTGAAATGTCTATTCCAGTCCTTTGCCCATTTTTAATTGGGTTATTTTTCTGCTATTGTGTTTTAATTGTTCTTTATAAATTTTACCCTTTATCAGATATGTGGTTGCAATTGTTTTCTCAAAGTTTGTAGGTTGTCTTTTCTCTTTGTTGATTGTTTCCTTCGGTGTGCAGAAGCATTTTAGTTTGAGGTGGTACCATTTATATATTTTTATTATTGTGCTTGAGTTTTTGAGGTGATACCCAAATTATTGTCAAGGCCAACGTTGAGGAGCTTTCCCTCTGTGTTCTCTTCTAGGAGTTGTATGGTGTCAGGTTTTATACTTATGTCTTTTATCCATTTTGGGTTGATTTTTGAGCATGGCATAAGATAAGAATCTAATTGTATTCCTTTGCATGTGTAAATCCAGTTTTCCCAGCACCATTTATTGGAGAGACTATCTGTTCCTCATTGTGTCCTCTTGTGCCATTGTCAAAAATTAGTTGACCATAGATGTTTGGATTTATTTGTGGGCTCTCTTCTCTGTTCCACTGGTCTGCATGTCTTTTTTTATACCAGCACAATACTGTTTTTATTACTCTAGCTTTATAATACAATTTTAAATTAGGAAGTGTAAAGCCATCAGCTTTGTTTGTCTTTCTCAGTATTGCTTTTGCTATTTGGGTTATTTTGGCTCCATATAGGTTTTAGAATTGTTTTTTCTATTTCCATAAACAATGCCATTGGAAGTTTGATAGAGATTGCATTAAATCTGTATATTGCTTTGAGTAGTGTGGACATTTTACCAATATTAATTCTTCCCATTCATCAACACAGAATATCTTTCAATTCATTTTTGTCTTCTTCAATTTCCTTCATCAATGTTTTAAAAATTTCTGAAGACTAATCTTTCATCACCTTGTTAAATTTATCCCCTTGTTAAATTTATTCCTAGGTATTTTTTGATGCTATCGTAATAGGATTTTTTCTTAATTTCTTTTTCAAATACTTGTTTGTTAGTCTATATAATTGCCACTGATTTTTATATGTTAATTGTGTATCCTAAAACTCTACTGAATTCATTTATTAGCTCTACTTTTTTTGTGTGTATAATCTTTGCAATTTTCTACACATAGGATCATGCTATCTGCAAATAGAGATAGTTTCACATCTTTTTTATTTGGATGCCTTTTATTTCTTTTTCTTGTTTGATTGGTCTTGCTAATATTTCTAGTGCTATTCTGAATAAAATTGGTGAGAGTGGACATTTATGTCTTGTTCTGGATCATAGAGGAAAAGCTTTTAGTTTTACCCCATTGATTACAGTGTTAGCTGTGGGCTTTTTTATAAATGACATTTATTAAGTAGAGGAATTTTAGTTTTTTCTATTATTATACTTTAAGTTCTAGGGTACATGTGTACAACGTGCAGGTTTATTACATAGGTATACACATGCCATGTTGGTTTGCTGCACCCATCAACTCGTCATTTACATTAGGTATTTCTCCTAATGCTATCCCTCTCCGAGCCCCCCCCACCCCCGACAGGCCCCATTGTGTGATGTTCCCCTCCCCGTGTCCATGTGTTCTCATTGTTCAACTCCCACCTATGAGTGAGAACATGCAGTGTTTGGTTTTCTGTCCTTGTGATAGTTTGCTTAGAATGATGGTTTCCAGCTTCATCCATGTCCCAGCAAAGGACTTGAACTCATCCTTTTTTATGGCTGCATAATATTCCATGATGTATATGTGCCACATTTTCTTAATCCAGTCTATCATTGATGGACATTTGGGTGTGTTCCAAGTCTTTGCTACTGTGAATAGTGCCACAGTAAACATAAGTGTGCATGTGTCTTTATAGTAGAATGATTTATAATCCTTTGAGTATATACCCAGTAATGGGATCACTGGGTCAAAGGGTATTTCTAGTTCTAGATCCTTGAGGAATCACCACACTGTCTTCCACAATGGTTGAACTAATTTACACTCCCACCAACAGTGTAAAAGCATTCCTATTTCTCCACATCCTCTCCAGCATCTGTTGTTTCCTGACTTTTTAATGATCGCCATCCTAACTGGCATGAGATGGTATCTCATTGTGGTTTTGATTTGCATTTCTCTGATGACCAGTCATGATGAGCATTTTTTCATATGTCTGTTGGCTGCATAAATGTCATCTTTTGAGAAGCGTCTGTTCATATCCTTTGCCCACGTTTTGATGGGTTTTTTTTCTTGTAAATTTGTTTAAGTTCTTTGTAGATTCTGGATATTATCCCTTTGTCAGATGGATAGATTGCAAAAATTTTCTCCCATTCTGTAGGTTGCCTGTTCACTCTGATGATAGTTTCTTTTGCTATGCAGAAGCTCTTTAGTTTAATTAGATCCCATTTGTCAATTCTGGCTTTTGTTGCCCTTGCTTTTGGTGTTTTAGTCATGAAGTCTTTGCCCATGCTTATGTCCTGAATGGTATTGCCTAGGTTTTCTTCTAGGGTTTTTATGGTGTTAGGTCTTACATTTAAGACTTTACTCCATCTTGAGTTAATTTTTGTATACAGTGTAAGGAAGGGATCCAGTTTCAGCTTTCTACATATGACTAGCCAGTTTTCCCAGCACCATTTATTAAATAGGGAATCCTTTAAGCATTGCTTGTTTTTGTCAGGTTTGTCAAAGATCAGATGGTTGTAAATGTGTGGTATTATTTCTGAGGCCTCTGTTCTGTTCCATTGGTCTATATGTCTGTTTCGGAACCAGTACCATGCTGTTTTGGTTACTGTAGGCTTGTAGTATAGTTTGAAGTCAGGTAGCGTGATGCCTCCAGCTTTGTTCTTTTTGCTTAGGATTGTCTTGGCTGTGCGGGCTCTTTTTTAGTTCCATATGAACTTTAAAGTAGTTTTTTCCAATTCTGTGAAGAAAGTCAGTGGTAGCTTGATGGGGATAGCATTGAATCTATAAATTACCTTGGGCAGTATGGCCATTTTCATGATATTGACTCTTCCTATTCATGAGCATGGAATGTTCTTCCATTTGTTTGTGTCCTCTTTTATTTCGTTGAGCAGTGGTTTGTAGTTCTGCTTGAAGAGGTCCTTCACATCCCTTGTAAGTTAGATTCCTAGGTATTTTATTCTCTTTGTAGTAATTGTGAATGTGAGGTCACTCGTGATTTGGCTCTCTGTTTGTCTATTATTGGTGTATAGGAATGCTTGTGATTTTTGCACATTGATTTTGTATCCTGAGACTTTGCTGAAGTTGCTTATCAGCTTAAGGAGATTTGGGGCTGAGATGATGGGGTTTTCTAAATATACAATCATGTTACCTGCAAACAGGGACAATTTGACTTCCTCTTTTCCTAATTGTATACCCTTCATTTCTTTCTCTTGGCTGATTGCCCAGGCCAGGACTTCCAACACTATGTTGAATAGGAGTGGTGAGAGAGGACATCCTTGCTTGTGCTGCTTTTCAAAGGCAATGCTTCCAGTTTTTGCCCATTCAGTATGGTATTGGCTGTGGGTTTGCCATAAATACCTCTTATTATTTTGAGATACGTTCCATCAATACCTAGTTTATTGAGAGTATTTAGCATGAAGGGCTGTTGAATTTTGTTGAAGGCCTTTTCTGCATCTATTGAGATAATCATGTGGTTTTTGTCTTTGGTTCTGTTTATGTGATGGATTACGTTTATTGATTTGCATATGTTGAACCAGGCTTGTATCCCAGGGATGAAGCCAACATGATTGTGGTGGACAAAGTTTTTGATGTGCTGCTGGATTTGGTTTGCCAGTGTTTTCTTGAGGATTTTCACATCGATGTTCATCAGGGATATTGGTCTAAAATTCTCTTTTTTGTTGTTTCTCTGCCAGGCTTTGGTATCAGCATGATACTGGCCTCATAAAATGAGTTAGGGAGGATTCCCTCTTTTTCTATTCTTTGGAATAGTTTCAGAAGGAATGGTATCAGCTCCTCTTTGTACCTCTGGTAGAATTCGGCTCTGAATCCGTCTGGTCCTGGGCTTTTTTTGGTTGGTAAGCTATTAATTACTGCCTGAATTTCAGGACCTGTTATTGGTCTATTCAGAGATTCAACTTCTTCCTGGTTTAGTCTTGGGAGGGTGTATGTGGAATTTATCCATTTCTTCTAGATTTTCTAGTTTATTCGTGTAGAGGTGTTTCTAGTATTCTCTGATCGTAGTTTGTATTTCTGTGGGATCGGTGGTGATATCCCCTTTATCATTTTTTATTGCATCTATTTGATTCTTCTCTCTTTTCTCCTTTATTAGTCTTGCTAGTGGTCTATGTATTTTGTTGATCTTTTAAAAAAAACCAGCTCCTGGATTTATTGATTTTTTGAAGGGTTTTTTGTGTCTCTGTCTCCTTCAGTTCTGCTCTGATCTTAGTTATTTCTTGTCTTCTGCTAGCTTTTGAATTTGCTTGCTCTTGCTTCTCTAGTTCTTTTAACTGTGATGTTAGGGTGTCAATTTTAGATCTTTCCTGCTTTCTCTTGTGGGCATTTAGTGCTATAAATTTCCCTCTACACACTGCTTTGAATGTGTCCTAGAGATTCTGGTATGTTGTGTCTTTGTTCTCATTGGTTTCAAAGAAAATCTTTATTTCTGCCTTTATTTCATACCCGGTAGTCATTCAGGAGCAGGTTGTTCAATTTCCATGTATTTATGTGGTTTTGAGTGAGTTTCTTAATCCTGAGTTCTAATTTGATTGGACTGTGGTCTGAGAGACTGTTTGTTATGATTTCTGTTCTTTTACATTTGCTGAGGAGTGTTTTTACTTCCAATTATGTGGTCAATTTTAGAATAAGTACAATGTGGTGCTGAGAAGAATGTATATTCTGTTGATCTGGGGTGGAGAGTTCTGTAGATGTCTATTAGGTCAGCTTGGTCCAGAGCTCTGTTCAAGTCCTGGATATACTTGTTAACCTTCTGTCTCATTGATCTACCTAATATTGACAGTGGGGTGTTAAAGTCTCCCATTATTATTGTGTGGGAGTCTAAGTCTCTTTGTAGGTCTCTAAGGACTTGCTCTAAGAATCTGGGTGCTTCTGTATTGGGTGCATATATATTTAGCATAGTTAGCTCTTCTTGTTGAATTGATCCCTTTACCATTATGTGGTGGCCTTCTTTGTCTCTTTTGATCTTTGTTGGTTTAAAGTCTGTTTTATCAGAGACTAGGATTGCAACCTCTGCTTTTCTTTTTGCTTTCCATTTGCTTGGTAGATCTTCCTCCATCCCTTTATTTTGAGCGTATGTGCGTCTTTGCACGTGAGATGGGTCTCCTGAATACAGCACACAGATGGGTCTTGACTCTTTATCCAATTTGCCAGTCTGTGTCTTTTAATTGGGGCATTTAGCCCATTTACATTTAAGGTCAGTATTGTTATGTTTGAATGTGATCCTGTCATTATGATGTTAGCTGGTTATTTTGCCTGTTAATTGATGCAGTTTCTTCATAGTGTCAATGGTCTTTACAATTTGGCATGTTTTTGCAGTGGCTGGTACCAGTTGTTCCTTTCCATTTCCATGTTTAGTGCTTCCTTCAGGAGCTCTTGTAAGGCAGGCCTGGTGGTGACAAAATCTCTCAGCATTTGCTTGTCTGTAAAGGATTTTATTTCTCCTTCACTTATGAAGCTTAGTTTGGCTGGATATGAAATTCTGGGTTGAAAATTCTTTTCTTTCAGAATGTTGAATATTGACCCCCACTCTCTTCTGGCTTGTAGAGTTTCTGCCAAGTGATCCACTGTTAGTCTGATGGGCTTCCCTTTGAGGGTAACCCGACCTTTCTCCCTGGCTGCCCTTAACATTTTTTCCTACATTTCAACCTTGGTGAATCTGACAATTATGTGTCTTGGGATTGCTCTTCTCAAGGAGTATCTTTATGGTATTCTCTGTATTTCCTGAATTTGAATGTTGGCCTGTCTTGCTAGGTTGGGGAAGTTCTCCTGCATAATATTCTGAAGAGTGTTTTCCAACTTGGTTCCATTCCCCCCGTCACTTTCAGGTACACCAATCAAATGTATATTTGGTCTTTTCACATAGTCCCATATTTCTTGGAGGCTTTGTTTGTTTCTTTTCACTCTTTTTTCTCTGATCTTGTCTTCTTGCTTTATTTCATTAATTTGATTTTCAATCACTGATATGCTTTCTTCCACTTGATCAAATCGGCTACTGAAGCTTGTGCATGCGTCACAAAGTTCTCATGCTGTGTATTTCAGCTCCATCAGGTCATTTAAGGTCTTCTCTACACTGGTTATTCTAGTTAGCCATTTGTCTAACCTTTTTTCAAGGTTTTTAGCTTCCTTGTGATGGGTTAGAGCATGCTCCTTTAGCTCGGAGGAGTTTGTTATTACTGACCTTCTGAAGCCTACTTCTGTCAATTCATCAAACTCATTCTCCATCCAGTTTTGTTCCCTTGCTGGTGAGGAGCTGTGATCCTTTGGAGGAGAAGAGACGCTCTGGTTTTTGGAATTTTCCACTTTTCTGTTCTGGTTTCTCTCCATCTTGTGGTTTTATCTACCTTTGGTCTTTGATGTTGGTGACCTACAGATGGGGTTTTGGTGTGGATGTCCTTTTTGTTGATGTTGAAGCTATTCCTTTCTGTTTGTTAGTTTTCCTTCTAACGGTCAGGCCCCTCAGCTTCAGGTCTGTTTGGAGTTTGCTGGAGGTCCACTCCACACCCTGTTTGCCTGGGTATCACCAGTGGAGGCTGCAAAACAGCAAATATTGCTGCCTGATCCTTCCTCTGGAAGCTTCATCCCAGAGGGGCACCCACCTATTTGAGGTGTCTGTTGGCCTCTACTGGGAGGTGTCTCCCAGTCAGGCTACACGGGGGTCAGGGACCCACCCGAAGAGGCAGTCTGTCCGTTCTTGGAGCTCAAATGCCATGCTAAGAGAACCACTGCTCTCTTCAGAGCTGTCAGACAGGGACGTTTAAGTCTGTAGAAGCTGCCTACTGACTTTTGTTCTACTATGCCCTGCCCTCAGAGGTGGAATCTAGAGAGGCAGTAGGCCTTGCTGAGCTGCAGTGGGCTCCGCCCAGTTCAAGGTTCCTGGCTGCTTTGTTTACACAGTGAGCCACTCAAGCCTCAGCAATGGTGGACACTCCTCCCCCTGTCAAGCTGCAGCATCGCAGGTTGATCTCAGACTGCCGTGCTGGCAGCGAGCAAGGCTCTGTGAGCATGGGACCCAGCAAGCCAGGCACAGGAGGGTATCTCCTGGTTTGCCAGTTGCTAAGACCGTGGGAGAAGTGCAGTATTTGGCTAGGAGTGTACTGTTTCTCCAGGTATAGTCTGTCATGGCTTCCCTTGGCTAGGAAAGGGAAATCCCCTGCCCCTTGTGCTTCCCAGGTGAGGTGATGCCCTGCCCTACTTCAGCTTGCCCTCCATGGGCTGCACCCACTGTCCAACCAGTCCCAGTGAGATGAGCCAGGTACCTCAGTTGGAAATGCAGAAATCACTCATCTTCTGCATTGATCTCGCTGGGAGCTGCAGACCGGAGTTGTTCCTATTTGGCCATCTTAGAAGCGACCCACAATATCTAGTTTTTTTTGAGATAGAGTCTCACTCTGTCACCCAGGCTAGAGTGCAGTGGCGCAATCTTGGCTCACTGCAACCTCTGCCTCCAGGGTTCAAGTGATTCTCCTGCCTCAGCCTCCCGAGTAGCTGGGATTACAGGTGTGTGCCACCACGCCCAGTTAATTTTTGTATTTTTAGTAGAGATGGGGTTTCAACATGTTGGTCAGGCTCATCTCGAATTCCTGACCTCATGATCTGCCCGCCTCGGCCTTGCAAAGTGCTGGGATTACAGGCGTGAGCCACTGCTCCCGGCCAGAATTTTACTTTTATACATGAATTGTTAAGAGTTTTTTGTTCGTTTTGAGAAGGAATCTCACTCTGTCACCCAGGCTGCAGTGCAGTGGTGCAATCTTGGCTCACTACAGCCCCTGCCTCCTGGGTTCAAGTGACTCTCCTGTCTCAGCCTCCTGAGTAGCTGGGACTACAGGCACACACCATTACCTCTGGCTAATTTTTGTATTTTCAGTAGAGACGGGATTTCACCTTGTTGGCCAGGCTGGTCTCGAACTCCTGACCTCAAGTGATCTACCCACTTCGGCCTCCCAAAGTGCTGGGTTTACAGGTGTGAGCCACTGCACCTGACCATTAAGAGTTTTTTAAATCAAGAATGGACGTGGAATTTTGTCAAATACTTTTCTGTGTCAATTGAGATAATCATGTGGTTTTCTGTTTTTCGTGCTGTAAATGTGATGTATTACATTGATTGAGTATGTTAACCAGCCTTTCATGCCAAGGATAAATCCCACTTGGTGATGACGTATACTGTTTTTGATGTGTTTGATGAATTTGGTTTGCTAATATTTGACTGAGGAGTTTTGCATTATATGAGTTATTGGCCTATAGTTTTTTTTTTTTTTTTTGGCCTAAAGACACCTATTGTGGTGTCTTTTTCTTGCTTAGTTGTGAAAGTGATGCTGGCCTTGTAAAGTATGTTGTAAGTATTCTCCCAGCTCTATTTTCTGGGACAGTTAAGTGGTAATAATTCTTCTTTGAATGTTTGGTAAAATTCAGCCATAAAGCCATCTGGTCCCAAGCTTTATTTCTGTTGGAAGGTTTCTAATTACTTCTTCAGTGTCTTTATTTATTATTATAATAGTTTGTTCAAGCTTTCTATTTCTTCCTAATTTATTCTTAAAAGTTACTGTTTTATAGTAGTTTATTAACTTTTATAAGTTGTGCCATTTGTTGGCAGATGCTTTTTCATAATTGTTTATTATGATGTTTTTTATTTTTGAGGCATGTATTGTATGGTCTTCATTTATATTTCTGATTTTATTTATTCCAGTCTTTTTTTTTTCTTAGTCTATCTTGGAATTTGATATTATTTATTTTTCAAGGCTGGGCACAGTGGCTCATGCATGTAATCCCAGCACTTTGGGAGGCCGAGGCAGCGGATCACCCGAGAGGTCAGGAGTTCGAGACTGGCTTGGCCAACATGGTGAAACCCTGTCTCTACTAAAAATACAAAAAAATTTTCTAGGCATGGTGGTGCACGCCTATAGTCCCAGCTACTTGGGAAGTGGAGGCAGGAGAATTGCTTGAACCCAGGAGGCAGAGGTTGCAGTGAGCTGAGATCATGCCACTGCACTCCAGCCTGGGCAACAGAGCAAGACTCTGTCTCAAAAAAAATTATTTTTCAAAGAATCAAGTCTTGGTTTTATTAGTTTTTTTCACATGGTTTTTCTGTTCTCTATTTGATTTATTTCTGCTCTGATATTATTGTTCCCTTCCTTCAGTTAACTTTGGGTTTAGGTTTCTCTTTTTCTAGCTCCTTAGGGCATAACATTAAATTTTTTGATTAAGGTATTTCTTCTTTTTTAATGTAGGCATTTATACCTATAAAGTTCCCCTTTAGAACCACTTTTGCTACACCCCATGGGTTTTGATATATTGTATTTTTATTGTCATTCATATCAAAATTTAAAAAATTCCTTCTGTATATGTGCTACTGAAGTGAGCACTTTTAATTTACCTTTGATTCTTATTTGATCCATTGATTTTTCAGAAACATGCTGTTTAATTTCCACATATCTGTGACTTTTCCAAAATTTCTCCTGTTACTGATTTCTAATTTTATACTGTCATGGCTGAAAACAATACCATTATGATTTTAATCTTCTTGAGTTTGCTAAGACTTGTTTTATGGCTTCATATTTGGTTTATCCTGGATAATGTTCCATGTACACTAGGAAAAATACACATTCTTCTGTCTGTACATATCTGTTTAAGTCCATTTGCTCTAATGTACAGTTCAAATCCAGTATTTTCTTGTTAATTTTCTGTCTGGTTCATGTATCTATTTTTAAAAAGGGGTATTGAACCAGAGAACACCACAAAGATACTCCTCAAGAAGAGCAACCCCAAGATACATAATCATGATTCACCAAGGTTGAAATGAAGGAAAAAATGTTAAGGGCAGCCAGAGAGAAAGATCAGGTTACCCACAAAGGGAAGCCCATCAGACTAACAGCGGATCTGTCTACAGAAATCCTATAAGCCAGAAGAGAGTGGGGGCCAATATTCAACATTCTTAAAGAAAAGAATTTTCAACCCAGAATTTCATATCCAGCCAAACTAAGCTTCATAAGCAAAGGAGAAATAAAATCCTTTACAGACAAGCAAATGCTGAGAGATTTTGTCACCACCAGGCTTCCCTTACAAGAGATCCTGAAGGAAGCACTAAATAGGTAAAGGAAAAACCAGTATCAGCCACTGCAAAAACATACCAAATTGTAAAGACCATCGACACTGTGAAGAAACTGCCTCAACTAATGGGCAAAATAACCAGCTAGCCCCAGTCAGTGACTGGCAAGATGGCCGAGTAGGAACAGCTCCATTCTGCAGCTCCTAGCAAGATCAATGCAGAAGGCAGGCGATTTCCAACTGAGGTACCCGGCTTATCTCAGTGGGACTGATTAGACAGTGGGTGCAGTTGGTGGAGGGTGAGTGGAAGCAGGGTGGGGCATTGCCTCACCGAGGAAGTGCAAGAAGTTGGGGAACTTCCTCCCTTACTCAAAGGAAACCATGAGGGACTGTGCTGTGAGGAACGGTGCACTCTGGCCCAGATACTACACTTTTCCCAAGGTCTTTGCAACGCACAAACCAGGAGATTCCCTGGGTGCCTACGCCACCAGGGCCCAGGGTTTCAAGCACAAAACTTGGCAGGTGTTTGGGCACACACTGAGCTAGCTGTAAGAGTTTTTTTTTTCATACCCCAGTGGTACCTGGAATGCCAGTGAGACAGAACCATTCACTCTCCTGGAAAGGGGGCTGAAGCCAGGGAGCCAAGTGGTCTAGCTCAGTGGATCCCACGCCCATGGAGCCCAGCAAGCTAAGACCCACTGGCTTGAAATTCTCGCTGCCAGCACAGCAGTCTGAAGTTGACCTGGGATGATAGAGCTTGGTTGGGGGAGAGTTGTCTGCCATTACTGAGGCTTCAGTAGGCGGTTTTCCCTTCAGTGTAAACAAAGCCACCAGGAAGTTCAAGCTGGGCAAAGCCCACCGCAGCTCAGCAAAGCGGCTGTGGCCCGACTCCCTCTCTAGAGTCCTCGTCTCTGGGAAGGGGATCTCTGAAAGAAAGGCAGCAGTACCAGTCAGGGACTTATAGATAAAACTCCCATCTCACTGGGACAGAGCACCTGGGGGAAGGGGAGGCTGTGGGCACAGCTTCAGCAGACTTAAACAGCCCTGCATGCCAGCTCTGAAGAGAGCAGCGGATCTCCCAGCACAGTGTTCGAGTTCTGCTAAGGGACAGACTGCCCTTCAACTGGGTGCCTGACCCCTGTGCCTTCTGATTGGGAGACACCTCCCAGCAGGGGTCAACAGACACCTCATACAGGAGAGCTCTGGCTGGCATATGGCGGGTGCCCCTCTGGGACGAACCTTACAGAGGAAGGAGCAGGCAGCAATCTTTGCTGTTCTGCAGCCTCCACTTGTGATCCCCAGGCAAACAGGGCCTAGAGTGGACCTCCAGCAAATTTCAGCAGACCTGCAGCAGAGGAGCCTGACTGTCAGAAGGAAAACTAACAAACAGAAAGGAATAGCATCAACATCAACAAAAAGGACATCCACACAGAACCCCATCTGAAGGTCACCAACATCAAAGACTAAAGGTAGATAAATCCACGAACATGAGGAAAAACCAGTGCAAAAAGGCTAAAAATTCCAAAACCCAGAATGCCTCTTCTCCTCCAAAGCATCACAACTCCTCGCCAGCAAGGGAACAAAACTGGATGGAGAATGAGTTTGACGAATTGACAGAAGTAGGCTTCAGAAGGTGGGTAATAACAAACTCTTCCAAGCTAAAGGAGCATGTTCTAACCCAATGTAAGGAAGCTAAAAACCTTGAAAAAAGGTTAGACGATGGCTAATTAGAACAACCAGTTTAGTGAGGAACATAAAGGACCCAATGGAGCTGAAAAACACAGCACGAGAACTTCATGAAGCATACACAAGTCTCAATAGCCAAATCGATCAAGTGGAAGAAAGGATATCAGAGATTGAAGATCAGCTTAATGAAATAAAGCATGAAGACCAGATTAGAGAAAAAAGAATGAAAAGAAATGAACAAAGTCTCCAAGAAATATGGGACTATGTGGAAAAACCAAACCTACGTTTGATTGGTGTACCTGAAAGTGACAGGGGGAATGGAACCAAGTTGGAAAACACTCTTCAGCATATTATCCAGGAGAACTTCCCCAACCTAGCAAGACAGGCCAACATTCAAATTCAGGAAATACAGAGAACACCACAAAGATACTCCTCGAGAAGAGCAATCCCAAGACACACAATATTCAGATTCACCAAGGTTGAAATGTAGGAAAAAATGTTAAGGGCAGCCAGGGAGAAAGGTTGGGTTACCCATGAAGAGAAGCCCATGAGACTAACAGTGGATCACTCGGCAGAAACTCTATAAGCCAGAAGAGAGTGGGGGTCAATATTCAACATTCTGAAAGAAAAGAATTTTCAAGCCCGAATTTCATATCCAGCCAAGTAAGCTTCATAAGTGAAGGAGAAATAAAATCCTTAACAGACAAGCAAATGCTGAGAGATTTTGTCACCACCAGGCCTGCCTTACAAGAGCTCCTGAAGGAAGCACTAAATATGTAAAGGAAAAACCAGAACCAGCCACTGCAAAAACATACCTAATTGTAAAGACCATCAACACTGTGAAGAAACTGCATCAACTAATGGGCAAAATAACCAGCTAGCATCATAATGACAGGATCACATTCAAACATAACAATATTGACCTTAAATGTAAATGGGCTAAATGCCCCAATTAAAAGACACAGACTGGCAAATAGGATAAAGGGTCAAGACCCATCTGTGTGCTGTATTCAGGAGACCCATCTCATGTGCAAAGACGCACATAGGCTCAAAATAAAGGGATGGAGGAATATTTACCAAGCAAATGGAAAGGAAAAAAAAAGCAGGTGTTGCAATCCTAGTCACTGAAAAATAGATTTTAAACCAACCAAGATCAAAAGAGACAAAGAAGGGCATTACATAATGGTAAAGGGATCAATGCAACAAGGAAAGATAACTATCCTCAACATATATGCACCCAATACAGGAGCACCCAGATTCATAAAGCAAGTTTTTAGAGACCTACAAAGAGACTTAGACTCCCACACAATAATAGTGGGAGGCGTTAACACCCCACTGTCAATATTAGGCAGATCAATGAGACAGAAAATTAAGAAGGATATTCAGGAATTGAACTCAGCTCTGGACCACGGAGACCTAACAGAAATCTACAGAACTCTCCACCCCAAATCAACAGAATATAAATTCTTCTCAGCACCACATTGTACTTATTCTAAAATTGATCACATAATTGGAAGTAAAGCACTCCTCAGCAAATGCAAAAGAATGGAAATCATAACAAACAGTCTCTCAGACCACAGTGCAATCATATTATAACTCAGGATTAAGAAATTCACTCAAAACCACACAAATACATGAAAACTGAACAAGCTGCTCCTGAATGACTACTGGATAAATAACAAAATTAAGGCAGAAATAAATAAGTTCTTTGAAACCAATAAAAAAGGCACAATGTACCAGAATCTCTGGGACACAGCTAAAGCAGTGTTTAGAGAGAAATTTACAGCACTAAATGCCCATAGGAGAAAGCAGGAAAGAGCTGAAACTGACACCCTAACGTCGCAATTAAAAGAACTAGAGAAGCAAGAGCAAACAAATTCAAAAGCTAGCAGAAGACAAGAATTAACTAAGATCAGAGCAGAACTCAAGGAGCTAGAGACACAAAAACCCTTCAACAAATCAATGAATCCAGGAGTTGTTTTAGAAAAGATTATCAAAATAGATAGACTGCTAGCCAGACTAATAAAGAAGAAAAGAGAGAAGAATCAGACAGACATAGTAACAAATGATAAAGGGGATATCACCACTGATCCCACAGAAATACAAACTACCATCAGAGAATACTATAAACACCTCTATGCAAATAAACTAGAAAATCTAGAAGAAATGGATAAATTCCTGGACACATACACCCTCCCAAGACTAAACCAGAAAGAAGTCGAATCCCTAAATAGACCAATAACAAGTTCTGAAATTGAGGCAGTAGTTAATAGCCTACCAACCAAAAAAAGCCCAAGACCAGATGGATTCACAGCCGAATTCTACCAGAGGTACAAAGAGGAGCTGGTATCATTCTTTCTGAAACTATTCCAAACAATGGAAAAAGAGGGACTCCTCTCTAACTCATTTTATGAGGCCAGCATCATCCTGATACCAAAACCTGGCAGAGACACAACAAAAAAGGAAAATTTCTGGCCAATATCCCTGATGAACATTGATGAGAAAATCCTCAATAAAATATTGGCAAACCAAATCCATCAGCACATCAAAAAGCTAATCCACCATGATCAAGTCTGCTTCATTCCTGGGATGCAAGGCTGGTTCAACACACACAAATCAATAAATGTAATCCACCACATAAACAGAATCAACGACAAAAACCACATGAATATCTCAATAGATGCAGAAAAGGCCTTCGACAAAATTCAATAGCCCTTCGTGCTAACAACTCCTAATAAACTAGGTATTGATGGAACGTATCTCAAAATAATAAGAGGTATTTATAACAACCCACAGCCAATATCATACTGAATTGGCGAAAGCTGGAAGCATTCCCTTTGAAAACCAGCACAAGGCAAGCATGCCCTCTCTCACCACTCCTATTGAACATAGTATTGGAAGTTCTGGCCACAGCAATCAGGCAAGCGGAAGAAGTAAAGAGTATTCAAACAGGAAGAGAGGAAGTCAAATTTTCTCTGTTTGCAGATGATAGGATAGCATATTTAGAAAATCCCAGCATCTCATCCCCAAATCTCCTTCAGCTGATAAGCAACATCAGCAAAGTCTCAGGATACAAAATCAATGTGCAAAAATCACAAGCATTTCTATACACTAATAATAGACAAACAGAGAGCCAAATCATAAGTGAACTTCCATTCAAAATTGCTACAGAGAGAATAAAATACCTAGGAATACAACTTACAAGAAATGTGAAGGACCTCTTCAAGGAGAACTACAAACCACTGCTCATGGAAATAAGACAGGACACAAACAAATGGAAAAAACATTCCATGCTCATGGATAGGAAGAATCAATATTGTGAAAATGGCCATACTCCCCAAAGTAATTTATAGATTCAATGCTATTCCCATCAAGCTACCATTGACTTTCTTCACAGAATTATAAAAAACTACTTTAAATTTCATATGGAACTAAAAAAGAGCCCGCATAGCCAAGACAATCCTCAGCAAAAAGAACAAAACTGAAGGCATCATGCTACGTGACTTCAAACTATACTACAAGGCTACAGTAACCAAAACAGCATGGTACTGGTACGAAAACAGATATATAGACCAACGGAACAGAACAAGTCCTCAGAAATAACACCACACATCTACAATCATGTGATCTTTGACAAACCTGTTGAAAAACAAGCAGTGGGGAAAGGATTCCCTATTTAATAAATGGTGTTAGAAAATTGGCTGGCCATATGCAGAAAACTGAAACTGGATTCCTTCCTTATACCTTATTACAAAAATTAACTCAAGATGGATTAAAGACTTAAACATAAAACCTAAAACCATAAAAACCCTAAAAGAAAACCTAGGTAATACTATTCAGGACATAGGCATGGGCAAAGACTTCATGACTAAAACACCAAAAGCAATGGCAACAAAAGCCAAAATAGACAAATGGGATCTAGTTAAACTAAAGAGCTTCTGCACAGCAAAAGAAATGATCATCAGAGTGCACAGGTAACCTACAGAATGCGAGAACATTTTTGCAATCTATCCATCTGACAAAGGGCTAATATCCAGAATCTACAAAGAAGTTAAACAAATCTACAAGAAAAAAAAATCTGATCAAAAAGTGGGTGAAGGATATGAACAGACACCTCTCAAAAGAACACATTTATATGGCCAACAAACATGAAAAAAAGCTCATTATCACTGGTCATTAGAGAAATGTAAATCAAAACCACAATGAGATACCATCTTGTGCCAGTGAGAATGGTGATCATTAAAAAGTCAGGAAATGACAGATGCTGGAGAGGATGTGAAGAAATAGGAATGCTTTTAGCCTGTTGGTAGGAGTGTAAATTAGTTCAACCATTGTGGAAGACAGTGTGGCGATTCCTCAAGGATCTAGAACAAGAAACACCATTTGACTCAGCAATCCCATTACTGTATATACCCAAAGGATTACAAATCATTCTACTATAAAGACACATGTACACATATGTTTATTGTGACACTGTTCACAATAGCAAAGACTTGGAACCAACCCAAATGCCCATCAATGATAGGCTGGATAAAGAAAATGTGGCACATATATACTATGGAATACTATGCAGCCATAAAAAAGGATGAGTTCATGTCCTTTGCAGAGACATGGGTGAAGCTGGACACCATCATTCTCAGCAAACTAACACAAGAACAGAAAACCAAACAGTGCATGTTCTCACTCATAAGTGGGAGTTGAACAATGAGAACACATGGACACAGGGAGGGGAACATCACACACCAGGGCCTGTCGGAGGGTAGGGAGCTAGGGGAGGGAGGGGTAGCATTAGGAGAATTACATAATGTTGATGATAGTTTGATGGGTGCAGCAAACCACCATGGCACATATATACCTAAACCTGCACTTCCTGCACATGTATCCCAGAACTTAAAATATAATAATAATAATAATAAAGGGGTATTGAAATTCCCCAGTATTTTTGTTTTGCTATGTTTTCCTCATGTCCACTAATATTTGCTTTATATGTTTACACACCTTGATGTTGGTTGCATATTTATAATTGTTACAGTCTGATTAACTTATTTGCTTATTATTACTTAAAGACAATCTTAGTCTCTTGTAACAGTTTTTGACTTCTGGCCTACTTTATCTGACATAAATATAGTCACCCCTGCTTTCTTTTTTTACCGTTTGCATGAAAAAATTCTTTCTTTTCACTTTATTTTTGTCCTTAAGCTTGATCTAGTCTGCCATTGAAGCTCTCTATTGTATTTTTTCATTTCCTTCATTGAATAATCTAATGGCAAGACATCTGTTTAATTTTTCTTGATGTCTATTTCTTTGCTGAATTTCTAATTTATACCATGATTTTTTTTTCCTGATTTCTTTCAATAGTCTATCTATATTATCTTGAATCTTGCTGACTTTTTATTTTTTATTTATTTTTTATTTTTTTAATTATACTTTAAGTTTTATGGTACATGTGCACAACGTGCAGGTTTGTTACATATGTATACATGTGCCATGTTGGTGTGCTGCACCCAGTAACTCGTCATTTAACATTAGGTATATCTCCTAATGCTATCCCTCCCCCCTCCCCCCACCCCACAACAGGCCCCGGTGTGTGATGTTCCCCTTCCTGTGTCCACATGTTCTCATTGTTTGATTCCCACCTATGAGTGAGAACATGCAGTGTTTGGTTTTTTGTCCTTGCGATAGTTTACTGAGAATGATGATTTCTAATTTCATCCATGTCCCTACAAAGGACATGAACTCATCATTTTTTATGGCTTCATAGTATTCCATGGTGTATATGTGCCACATTTTCTTAATCCAGTCTATCATTGTTGGACATTTGGGTTGGTTCCAAGTCTTTGCTATTGTGAATAGTGTCGCAATAAACATACGTGTGCATGTGTCTTTATAGCAGCATGTTTTATAATCCTTTGGGTATGTGCCCAGGAATGGGATGGCTGGGTCAAATGGTATTTCTAGTTCAAATCTTGCTGACTTTTAAAAATGTTATATTATTATTATTATTATTATTATTATTATTATTATTTTGAGATGGAGTCTCACTCTGTCAACCAGGCTGGAGTGCAGTGGCACGATCTCGGCTCACTGCAACCTCCACCTCTCAGATTCAAGTGATTTTCCTGCCTCAGCCTTTTTGGGGAGAGTCATGTTTCTTTGCTTTTTCATGTTTCTTGTGTCCCTGTGTTGATATATGTGCATCTGGTAGAACATTTGCCTCTCCTAACTTATAAAGTAGCTTTTCTAAGAAAAAACTTTCACTTGTTGATAGGTCCTCGGGTGCTGAGTAGGGTGTATCGGCTCTGCTTCTGGCTGGCACAGTAGCGTAGTCTCTGTGAAGCTTCTCAGCTATAATCAATGTCAGTGACAAGTGGATGCCTCAGTGGCCCGTACTGCAGTAATTTGTGGGAGTGGTGGTAGCAAAGTAGATTACACTGAGCTCAGGCACCAAGAGAGCACAACTACTCCACCAGCTCAGGTACAGCTTCCCTCGGGTGGGATGCAGGGCTGGTTTGTGTGCTGAGGGAATAAGACCAGTGTTCTGGCTTGGGCATAGCTTTTCTGGAGGTGGGGCACCAGGCCGCTTTATGTGCCAAGGGAGCACAGCTGCTCCACCATCTCAGACATTGCTTTCCTGGGGCTGAGTCTGGGGCCCCCAGTTAGTGTGCACACAAGGGGGTATTGTTGCCATTCTATTGCGCATGCTTCTCTGGGGTCAAGGTGCTTGGCTCATGCTTGAGAGGGTACAACTGCTTCACCAGGCCAGGCTTGGCTTCCTTGCTGGGTTGGACTGTTTGGTCCTTGGGGGCCAGAGCAGCCTGTAGGTTCAGAAGCCTGGGTCATGACCGTTCCACTGGGCCTAGGCCTAGGCTTCGAATGGCCATGGGTGGGGCATAGCTGCCACTGGAATGGAGAGGATACTGTGCCTTCTCAGCAGCTTCATAAAAAGGTATTTTGGTCTATATATCCTTGGTAAATCTGTATTTCTGAGACAGCATGAGATCAATAATTTTCTATTCTACTCTCTTGCTTACAACATTCAACAACTCATTTCCTTTTTTTTTTTATCACAGAGTAATATTCCATTGTATAGATGTACCATAGTTTGTGTATACATTCTATGTATCATTATTGAATGATATCTGGTTGCAAACATTTTTGGCAATTATGAATAAAGCTGCTATAAACATTCATGTGCAATTTTTCATGTGGACATATGTTTTCAAGTCATTTAGGTGAATAAAAAGCAGTGCAGTTGCTGGATTAGGTGATAAAAGTATGTTTAATTTTGCAGGAAATTGCTGAACTGTCTTCTAGAACAACCGTACCGTCTTGCATTCCTGTCAGCAATCAGTGAGAATTCCTGTTGCTCCGCATCCTCACCAGCATTTGGTGTTGTCAGTGTTCTAGATTTTAGACTAAATGCAGTGTTTTCATTTTGTCCTATTCTAGATGCTAACTTTTATTGTGATTTAGTCTCGTGAGTTGTTTTAAATTGTTACATAAGAATTTCTTAGTGTATAGAGTTTCCTATGTTTTTGAATTACTTTTTAATTTTAATTGCATTATGATTAGAGTATGTTTATTTTGATGGTTATCTGTGGAAATTTTCATTCTGATCTAGTTAAGTGGTGACTTTGTGAGTTTCCGTGTGCTTAAAAAGACTGCAAATCTCTCATTGTGGCTGCCCTGGAACTTAGTTTATATAATAAATAAGTTTCCTCATGTCTGAACCTGCCCAGGCACCTTTCCCAATGTATCAGATGTTTAACACTAAGGATCTGTTTTGTTCTGGAAAGTTATTTTTATCTGGCCTCATGATTACAGTCCTGGCCCTGAACTTCAGAGAATGGAGGGGTAAGCAAAAGGACCTCAGACTGTGCCAGGAAATGTCAAGTCACCTGCTGTAGGCTACTACTAATGGAGCATGGCCTATTTACTTGGACACCAAACTATCCAGTGCTAACAT
Organism: Homo sapiens; assembly: GCF_000001405.40. NCBI lineage: Eukaryota > Metazoa > Chordata > Mammalia > Primates > Hominidae > Homo > Homo sapiens. Next base: position 180,898,900 of record NC_000005.10, read on the forward strand.
GAGGTTTTTCAGGACTAGATCCCATGGCCATACAGCCCTGCCTGCCAGATTGGACGTGAAAAGTATTTCCGCATCTGACATTCCTGTTTCACCCACACAGGGCATCGTTTTGCCCAGGACAAAGTTCACCTCCAATCTTATCCACACTATTTCTATCTTTGCTTCCTTGATAAGATATAGACATTTATGCAGTGGTTCAAAGTCTAGAGTCCCTACACTTCTGGTACATGACAGCTGTGTCTCGATGGAGTAGACTCTCAGAACAGCGCAGTTTGCCCTCCGCTCACGCAGAGCCTCTCCGTGGCTTCCGCACCTTGAGCATTAGGCCAGTTCTCCTCTTCTCTCTAATCCATCCGTCACCTCTCCTGTCATCCGTTTCCATGCCGTGAGGTCCATTCACAGAACACATCCATGGCTCTCATGCTCAGTTTGGTTCTGAGTCTCCTCAAGCTGGGATCAGGTAAGACTCATCTTTGTTTCCTCCTTACTAACTAACAGTTTGAGTTCTTTAGCTACAATGGTTGCAGCATAATGGAATGAAGGCATCTTTGTCGTTTCCATTCCTTTGGCTTCTCCTAGCCTCAGCCTGGGGAAGGATCAGGCGCTGTGGAAACAATTATAGTAGCCCCCAAATAATGGAAACACGGGTGTTGAAGACGCACCGTGATCGTTGACGGGGACACACCTAACGTGTTAAGGTGAATAAATTCAGTGTTTCTCCCAGATGGGCTGAGTGGTGTAGGCAGGGTTATTGGAGCACCAAGGTTGCTGACATGGATGTCCATCTGGGAAGAGACACAGTTAGGATTTTTGGGGAAAAGACAATGTATCCAGCTAAAGACATGCTGAGTTAGAAATGTCTGTGGTATGAGACACGAGGGTGGAGGAAGGTGTACAGGTCTTGAGGTGAGAAATTAGCTGAAACCTGGCATATTCTGGGAAGAAATCCACTCTTCTTTCTCCTTCCAGTTACTGTTAACACAGAACCTAGTATATAGGATGTTGAGTGACTGAATACAATTCACAGAGGAAGCTTGAGGTTGGGGTAGAATGCTGGTGGCTAGATGGTCAGTACCCAGCCACAGAAGATTCGATTGACTGTGTTCACTTTCTGTCTGTGAAGGTTCATCCTGCCACCTGTCCACCTATATCTTTTTTGCTAAATGAAGCTAAGAAAACAGAAATAAGGGCAATCAAAACATAGAGCATGTTTCCTTAAAACAAAAACCCATATGTGTTACTAACAGGAGACGCTCTCGTTTCAGTTTGTTTTCATTTATTTTCTGACGAGCTTCTTTGTTTCCCTTCTGTTTCCGGGTGAGGCAGCAGGACATCCTGGAAATGATCTTGGAGACAGAAACATTTTATTTTTAAAAACTCTTATTTCATTTTCTTGTGAGCTTTATTGTTCACAGCTTCCTTAGGTGTTGGTTTGCTTATGATGACATGGAGATACGATCACATTCCTGCTGGGGCTGTGGTGAGGACTGCATGAGCTTGTGCATGTAGAGTGCACACAGCTGCACGGGTGCATGGCATGTTGCAGCAACAGTCTTGTTCCTTTCTTATTTTCAAGGGAAGGAAGTGGAAGGAGTGAAAGGAGATGTTATAGGCAAGAGAGGTGACAGCAGCAAGGGCTGGCCGGAGAAATGGAGGTACCCTGAAAAATGTTTCCTTGCCTCAAGAGCCCCACACAGCCCTGAAGGCAGCATCCATAGCAGCCCAGCTGGCATACGCTGGGTCCCCAAACCTGACCTAAGACAAGGGCCTTCCTGCCAGTGATTCGTTGAGCAGGTGATTCTGGGAAACAAAGTGAGGGAGTGGAGAGAGTGAAGCCAGTAGGGGGAAAGCCATAGAGGGTGCGCTAATGAGCGTTGCTGCGGTGGCAACTGGGACCCAGTCCCACTGGGACCTTTGGAGGAACTTTATAGATGGTGGCTCAGAGTCATTCCAACATCTACTGTCTCCTTTCCCCACTGGGTGAGATGTGCCGCCCAGGACTGCTAAAATCGCAAACCTTCTGAGCTGCCTTGTGCCAGGGCTAAGTAGGTTCCAAGGGTGGCAGGAAGCCCTCAGCAGAGAGGCAGAGGCCAGGCTCCAGGGACGGAGCTGTCAGCAGGCAGGGAAATGCCCATCCCACTGCAGGGGGACTCAGGGTTGGGTGGTGAGGAGCAGGGCCTCAACATCTGCTACACCAGGTCAGAAGCTGGTCAGACACCAGGCTGCAAAGTCATGCCTCATTTAATAATACTCTTAAAGATGCATGAGTGAAATACATTTCAGCAAGATTTATAAAATGTAATTAAACTAAAAAATTAGTGCTAAAATGAAAAAGTATCCACTGATCTAGAAATTCACACATGTAATTCACCTTCCCTCTGATGCACATGCAGACAGCACACACAGGTATATCCATATACCATAAATGGATACATGTGAATGAATCAAGAGACACTGCCAGTCAAAGGGGGTGGGTACTTAGAAGGTGAAGGGAGTGGGCCTCCATAGTCTGTGGTCTCTAAGAAGCAGTGTAATCCTTACAGGGTAGTAAGAGTGATTTACACCAGGAAAATTACTCAAATGATTGTTAAACAGATGAGCAAGTAAGAAAGGAAATGGGGCTCACCGTTCACATGCATAACTGTGGAGCCTGTTCTGTGTGACTGGCTCTGTGCTGATCAAGTGGGTACTATGCTGAGCAAGAAAATCAGGCCCTGTCCCCAGAGAGCCAAGAGCTGTGCAGGGGAGGCTCACAGAAAACATGTAATTGTCACACTTGAAGCAAGACAATGAAGAAAGTTTCAAAAGCGAGGTGAGGACATACATGTACCAAGAATTTTTTTTAAAAAAAATGAAGGCAAGACATGTTGACAAAGCACTAGGCGAACCACCTTTCAGTGCTAAAATAAAGTGGAAAAAATTACTACACAAGCGTAAAAGGCACATGCTATGGAAAATATAAGTCACACGTGAACGTGCTAAAGAACAAATTTACAGAAAACAGACTGCAAAATCTTGTTTCAGTGTCACAGCATGTCTTTCAGAACTTGGCAGAACAAGCAGATTTTCAAAAAAAACTAAGGAAGTACAAATAATTGTGTGCGCCATGGGCAGAAATGTAACATTCCTCTATAGTAGCCATAAAATATTGATATAATATTGTGCTTGAAGGAAACCTTAACGAATTGCCGCAAACTGGAGACTTTATGGCCCATACTCTTCTCTGGGCCATTAGAAAGACGTCAACTTTGGTTTTCAGCAAGGACGATGGAAATGGGGATGTTTGGGTTTTTTTTTTAATTGAAGCAAATGGGCAGATGGGAGAGAATGTGGCAATAGAACCTCCTGGAATCAAAGGGTCTACATTCAGAAAGAGACTTTTTCCTCTGGATAACATGGTTTTCTCATCTTAAAAATAAAAACATTAATAATACACATTTCTGCAGGTGCTCCTCAAGATCGAATGAAGTAACTGATGTGGACATGGTTTGTCAAATGTAAGGAGATACACAAATGCAAGTCACTGGCTTTAGAAATAGGATTGTGATGAATGTTTCCCCCTGATGCACATCTCCAGCCCAGCCCAATGGAGCCCTGAGTAGGTCACACTATAAAGGGTTTTTTTTTTTGTTTTTGCTTTTATACTTTAAGTTTTAGGGTACATGTGCACATTGTGCAGGTTAGTTACATATGTATACATGTGCCATGCTGGTGCGCTGCACCCACTAACTCGTCATCTAGCATTAGGTATATCTCCCGATGCTATCCCTCCCCCCTCCCCCTACCCCACAACGTCCCCAGAGTGTGATATTCCCCTTCCTGTGTCCATGTGATCTCATTGTTCAATTCCCACCTATGAGTGAGAATATGCGGTGTTTGGTTTTTTGTTCTTGCGATAGTTTACTGAGAATGATGATTTCTAATTTCATCCATGTCCCTACAAAGGACATGAACTCATCATTTTTTATGGCTGCATAGTATTCCATGGTGTATATGTGTCACATTTTCTTAATCTAGTCTATCATTGTTGGACATTTGGGTTGGTTCCAAGTCTTTGCTATTGTGAATAGTGCCGCAATAAACATACGTGTGCATGTGTCTTTATAGCAGCATGATTTATAGTCCTTTGGGTATATACCCAGTAATGGGATGGCTGGGTCAAATGGTATTTCCAGTTCTAGTTCCCTGAGGAATCGCCACACTGACTTCCACAATGGTTGAACTAGTTTACAGTCCCACCAACAGTGTAAAAGTGTTCCTATTTCTCCAATCCTCTCCAGCACCTGTTGTTTCCTGACTTTTTGATGATTGCCATTCTAACTGGTGTGAGATGGTATCTCATTGTGGTTTTGATTTGCATTTCTCTGATGGCCAGTGATGATGAACATTTTTTCATGTGTTTTTTGGCTGCATAAATGTCTTCTTTTGAGAAGTGTCTGTTCATGTCCTTTGCCCACTTTTTGATGGGGTTGTTTGTTTTTTTCTTGTAAATTTGTTTGAGTTCATTGTAGATTCTGGATATTAGCCCTTTGTCAGATGAGTAGGTTGCGAAAATTTTCTCCCATTTTGTAGGTTGCCTGTTCACTCTGATGGTAGTTTCTTTTGCTGTGCAGAAGCTCTTTAGTTTAATTAGATCCCATTTGTCAATTTTGTCTTCTGTTGCCATTGCTTTTGGTGTTTTAGACATGAAGTCCTTGCCCATGCCTATGTCCTGAATGGTAATGCCTAGGTTTTCTTCTAGGGTTTTTATGGTTTTAGGTCTAACGTTTAAGTCTTTAATCCATCTTGAATTGATTTTTGTATAAGGTGTAAGGAAGGGATCCAGTTTCAGCTTTCTACATATGGCTAGCCAGTTTTCCCAGCACCATTTATTAAATAGGGAATCCTTTCCCCATTGCTTGTTTTTGTCAGGTTTGTCAAAGATCAGATAGTTGTAGATATGCAGCGTTATTTCTGAGGGCTCTGTTCTGTTCCATTGATCTATATCTCTGTTTTGGTACCAGTACCATGCTGTTTTGGTTACTGTAGCCTTGTAGTATAGTTTGAAGTCAGGTAGTGTGATGCCTCCAGCTTTGTTCTTTTGGCTTAGGATTGACTTGGTGATGCAGGCTCTTTTTTGGTTCCATATGAACTTTAAAGTAGTTTTTTCCAATTCTGTGAAGAAAGTCATTGGTAGCTTGATGGGGATGGCATTGAATCTGTAAATTACCTTGGGCGGTATGGCCATTTTCACGATATTGATTCTTCCTACCCATGAGCATGGAATGTTCTTCCATTTGTTTGTATCCTCTTTTATTTCCTTGAGCAGTGGTTTGTAGTTCTCCTTGAAGAGGTCCTTCACATCCCTTGTAAGTTGTATTCCTAGGTATTTTATTCTCTTTGAAGCAATTGTGAATGGGAGTTCACTCATGATTTGGCTCTCTGTTTGTCTGTTGTTGGTGTATAAGAACGCTTGTGATTTTTGTACATTGATTTTGTATCCTGAGACTTTGCTGAAGTTGCTTATCAGCTTAAGGAGATTTTGGGCTGAGACAGTGGGGTTTTCTAGATATACAATCATGTCGTCTGCAAACAGGGACAATTTGACTTCCTCTTTTCCTAATTGAATACCCTTTATTTCCTTCTCCTGCCTAATTGCCCTGGCCAGAACTTCCAGCACTATGTTGAATAGGAGTGGTGAGAGAGGGCATCCCTGTCTTGTGCCAGTTTTCAAAGGGAATGCTTCCAGTTTTTGCCCATTCAGTATGATATTGGCTGTGGGTTTGTCATAGATAGCTCTTATTATTTTGAAATACGTCCCATCAATACCTAATTTATTGAGAGTTTTTAGCATGAAGGGTTGTTGAATTTTGTCAAAGGCTTTTTCTGCATCTATTGAGATAATCATGTGGTTTTTGTCTTTGGCTCCGTTTATATGCTGGATTACATTTATTGATTTGCGTATATTGAACCAGCCTTGCATCCCAGGGATGAAGCCCACTTGACCATGGTGGATAAGCTTTTTGATGTGCTGCTGGATTCAGTTTGCCAGTATTTTATTGAGGATTTTTGCATCAATGTTCATCAAGGATATTGGTCTAAAATTCTCTTTTTTTGTTGTGTCTCTGCCTGGCTTTGGTATCAGAATGATGCTAGCCTCATAAAATGAGTTAGGGAGGATTCCCTCTTTTTCTATTGAATGGAATGGTTTCAGAAGGAATGGTACCAGTTCCTCCTTGTACCTCTGGTAGAATTCGGCTGTGAATCCATCTGGTCCTGGACTCTTTTTGGTTGGTAAGCTATTGATTATTGCCACAATTTCAGCTCCTGTTATTGGTCGATTCAGAGATTCAACTTCTTCCTGGTTTAGTCTTGGGAGAGTGTATGTGTCGAGGAATTTATCCATTTCTTCTAGATTTTCTAGTTTATTTGCATAGAGGTGTTTGTAGTATTCCCTGATGGTAGTTTGTATTTCTGTGGGATCGGTGGTGATATCCCCTTTATCATTTTTTATTGCATCTATTTGATTCTTCTCTCTTTTTTTCTTTATTAGTCTTGCTAGCGGTCTATCAATTTTGTTGATCCTTTCAAAAAACCAGCTCCTGGATTCATTAATTTTTTGAAGGGTTTTTTGTGTCTCTATTTCCTTCAGTTCTGCTCTGATTTTAGTTATTTCTTGCCTTCTGCTAGCTTTTGAATGTGTTTGCTCTTGCTTTTCTAGTTCTTTTAATTGTGATGTTAGGGTGTCAATTTTGGATCTTTCCTGCTTTCTCTTGTGGGCATTTAGTGCTATAAATTTCCCTCTACACACTGCTTTGAATGTGTCCCAGAGATTCTGGTATGTTGTGTCTTTGTTCTCGTTGGTTTCAAAGAACATCTTTATTTCTGCCTTCATTTCGTTATGTACCCAGTAGTCATTCAGGAGCAGGTTGTTCAGTTTCCATGTAGTTGAGCGGCTTTGAGATTCTTAATCCTGAGTTCTAGTTTGATTGCACTGTGGTCTGAGAGATAGTTTGTTATAATTTCTGTTCTTTTACATTTGCTGAGGAGAGCTTTACTTCCAGTATGTGGTCAATTTTGTAACAGGTGTGGTGTGGTGCTGAAAAAAATGTATATTCTGTTGATTTGCGGTGGAGAGTTCTGTAGATGTCTATTAGGTCCGCTTGGTGCAGAGCTGAGTTCAATTCCTGGGTATCCTTTTTGACTTTCTGTCTCGTTGATCTATCTAATGTTGACAGTGGGGTGTTAAAGTCTCCCATTATTAATGTGTGGGAGTCTAAGTCTCTTTGTAGGTCACTCAGGACTTGCTTTACGAATCTTGGTGCTCCTGTATTGGGTGCATATATATTTAGGAGAGTTAGCTCTTCTTGTTGAATTGATCCCTTTACCATTATGTAATGGCCTTCTTTGTCTCTTTTGATCTTTGTTGGTTTAAAGTCTGTTTTATCAGAGACTAGGATTGCAACCCCTGCCTTTTTTTGTTTTCCATTGGCTTGGTAGATCTTCCTCCATCCTTTTATTTTGAGCCTATGTGTGCCTCTGCACGTGAGATGGGTTTCCTGAATACAGCACACTGATGGGTCTTGACTCTTTATCCAATTTGCCAGTCTGTGTCTTTTAATTGGAGCATTTAGTCCATTTACATTTAACGTTAATATTGTTATGTGTGAATTTGATCCTGTCATTATGATGTTAGCTGGTTATTTTGCTCGTTAGTTGATGCAGTTTCTTCCTACTCTCGATGGTCTTTACATTTTGGCATGATTTTGCAGTGGCTGGTACCGGTTGTTCCTTTCCATGTTTAGTGCTTCCTTCAGGAGCTCTTGTAAGGCAGGCCTGGTGGTGACAAAATCTCTCAGCATTTGCTTGTCTGTAAAGTATTTTATTTCTCCTTCACTTATGAAGCTTAGTTTGGCTGGATATGAAGTTCTGGGTTGAAAATTCTTTTCTTTAAGAATGTTGAATATTGGCCCCCACTCTCTTCTGGCTTGTAGGGTTTCTGCCGAGAGATCCGCTGTTAGTCTGATGGGCTTCCCTTTGAGGGTAACCCGACCTTTCTCTCTGGCTGCCCTTAACATTTTTTCCTTCATTTCAACTTTGGTGAATCTGACAATTATGTGTCTTGGAGTTGCTCTTCTCGAGGAGTATCTTTGTGGCGTTCTCTGTATTTCCTGAATCTGAACGTTGTCCTGCCTTGCTAGATTGGGGAAGTTCTCCTGGATAATATACTGCAGAGTGTTTTCCAACTTGGTTCCATTCTCCCCATCACTTTCAGGTACACCAATCAGACGTAGATTTGGTCTTTTCACATAGTCCCATATTTCTTGGAGGCTTTGCTCATTTCTTTTTATTCTTTTTTTTCTAGACTTCCCTTCTTGCTTCATTTCATTCATTTCATCTTCCATCGCTGATACCCTTTCTTCCAGTTGATCGCATCGGCTCCTGAGGCTTCTGCATTCTTCACGTAGTTCTTGAGCCTTGGTTTTCAGCTCCATCAGCTCCTTTAAGCACTTCTCTGTATTGGTTATTCTAGTTATACATTCTTCTAATTTTTTTTCAAAGTTTTCAACTTCTTTGCCTTTGGTTTGAATGTCCTCCCGTAGCTCAGAGTAATTTGATCATCTGAAGCCTTCTTCTCTCAGCTCGTCAAAGTCATTCTCCATCCAGCTTTGTTCCGTTGCTGGTGAGGAACTGCGTTCCTTTGGAGGAGGAGAGGCGCTCTGCTTTTTAGAGTTTCCAGTTTTTCTGTTCTGTTTTTTCCCCATCTTTGTGGTTTTGTCTACTTTTGGTCTTTGATGATGGTGATGTACAGATGGGTTTTTGGTGTGGATGTCCTTTCTGTTTGTTTTCCTTCTAACAGAGAGGACCCTCAGCTGCAGGTCTGTTGGAGTACCCTGCCGTGTGAGGTGTCAGTGTGCCCCTGCTGGGGGGTGCCTCCCAGTTAGGCTGCTCGGGGGTCAGGGGTCAGGGACTCACTTGAGGAGGCAGTCTGCCAGTTCTCAGATCTCCAGCTGCGTGCTGGGAGAACCACTGCTCTCTTCAAAGCTGTCAGACAGGGACATTTAAGTCTGCAGAGGTTACTGCTGTCTTTTTGTGTGTCTGTGCCCTGCCCCCAGAGGTGGAGCCTACAGAGGCAGGCAGGCCTCCTTGAGCTGTGGTGGGCTCCACCCAGTTGGAGCTGCTTTGTTTACCTAATCAAGCCTGGGCAATGGCGGGCGCCCCTCCCCCAGCCTCGCTGCTGCCTTGCAGTTTGATCTCAGACTGCTGTGCTAGCAATCAGCGAGACTCTGTGGTCATAGGACCCTCTGAGCCAGGTGTGGGATATAATCTCGTGGTGCGCCGTTTCTTAAGCCCATCGGAAAAGCGCAATATTCGGGTGGGAGTGACCCGATTTTCCAGGTGCGTCCGTCACCCCTTTCTTTGACTCGGAAAGGGAACTCCCTGACCCCTTGCGCTTCCCGAGTGAGGCAATGCCTCGCCCTGCTTCGGCTCGTGCACGGTGCGCGCACCCACTGACCTGCGCCCACTGTCTGGCACTCCCTAGTGAGATGAACCCGGTACCTCAGATGGAAATGCAGAAATCACCCATGTTCTGCGTCGCTCACTCTGGGAGCTGTAGACCGGAGCTGTTCCTATTCGGCCATCTTGGCTCCTCCCCCTCACTACAAAGGGTTTTGATGATTTATCTTTTGTATGTCTTCCCACAGGGCAGTGGCAGGTGTTTGGGCCAGACAAGCCTGTCCAGGCCTTGGTGGGGGAGGACGCAGCATTCTCCTGTTTCCTGTCTCCTAAGACCAATGCAGAGGCCATGGAAGTGCGGTTCTTCAGGGGCCAGTTCTCTAGCGTGGTCCACCTCTACAGGGACGGGAAGGACCAGCCATTTATGCAGATGCCACAGTATCAAGGCAGGACAAAACTGGTGAAGGATTCTATTGCGGAGGGGCGCATCTCTCTGAGGCTGGAAAACATTACTGTGTTGGATGCTGGCCTCTATGGGTGCAGGATTAGTTCCCAGTCTTACTACCAGAAGGCCATCTGGGAGCTACAGGTGTCAGGTCAGTTTCATATTTCATAACTTAGTTGTCCCAAAGAACCATCCTGGACTTTATAAGTGTTTTTTTCAATAAGGAAATTTTAAAATTTTAGGTCATTTAGTTAGAAGGCAGCATTCTATACTCTACGTTCCTTCTGTCTTGTGTGTATAGTTCTATGTGTTTTGTCACATGTTTAAATTCAGGTAACCACCATCACATCAAGGTATAGAACTACCCCATCATCACGAAGATCTCCCTCTGTCACCCCTTCATGGTCACACCCACCCCTTCTCAGCCCCTGCCTGGGGTTTTCCATCTCCCTGATGCTGTAATTTCAAGAATGTTACATACACAGCTTCACACCGCAGGTGACCTTTTGAGATTGACTTTTTAAATTCAGCATAATGCTCTTGCGATCTATCCAAATTATTGCTTGTATCGATACTTTATTTCTTTTTTTTCCCCACTGTCAAAATAGTTTTCCTTATGAACATTTATTTTTAAATTAACAAATAAAGATTCCTGCTCACTTGTCCTACAAATTTTTTGTTTATCTGATACAGCAGGGAGCAAACGTCAGCTCCAGGAAGCTGTGACTTCCCCTGACAATCAGTTGCTCAATGCTCTGTGTTAACTTGACCATACTTCCATAGTCACACCCTTCACAGTGAAATGTATTTGACGGGGCTGGGTGCAGTGGCTCAAGCCCGTAATCCCAACACCTTGAGAGGCTGAGACAGGAGGATTGCTTGAGTCCAGGAGCTCGAGACCAGCCTGGGCATATGGTAAGACCTCATCTCTATTAAAAAAAAAAAAAAAAGAAGATGAAAGAAGGAAAAAACAGAAATTTATTGTTTACAGTTGTTGCCGTGTGCAGTCAGTGAGTTGTGAATAATCTGTGTCCTGATTAAAAACCTGTGAGTGGGGCTGCTCTGACGGTAGTGGATTATCCGAACTTAGTAGTGTCACTACAATTGGCATACGACTCCCCACTGCTAAATTTGACTAACTTAAATTTTTTTAAAAACCACTATGAGTGATATTTCAGGCCTGATGATAGGCAATTTTCAAAAGCGTTTCCTGGAAGGCCTCCTCCTCATAGCAGACTTGGAGTACAACCAATGCTTTGCAGTCTCTGAGGAGAGTTTCAGGTGAGCCCTCAGGCCCGGCTAAGCTGTCCTGGTCTTTACATATTTGCATTTCTAGCCCAGGCATTTTAATTCTCAGAATCTCAGGCCTTGGGCAGGACTTTCAAGTGCCTTATAACAAGGAGGAGAATGTGGAGTCCTAATTAGGGAAAAGGAGTCAGGCTGGCAGGACCAGGTGAAAGCAAAAAGAAAAAAAAAAAGAGGAAATAAACTATAAACATGCCTTTCTTCATGTCTAGAAAATTTAAACAAAAGAGACAGCAGATAAGCTACAGGTCTGCCTTTCTTCGTCATCCTGGACATACAGTCCAGGATATATGGCCCAGAACATTTGGCCTTCCTGCCCAGATAACATACATAACTCACAGACTTCCTGCTTATCATCAAACACCTCAATTTATCAAATATCCCAGCTGACAAAAGAATATAAGTTAGGCTCCCTGCTACCTTGGCATTATCGATCAGCCCAAGCTCCATTCTATAAAATCCCTGAGACTTTTTTTTCTTGCAGTTAGCTTCCCTCATGCTAACTTGCCTATTGCCTTCCTTGCAAAGTACTTTCCTACTTTCTCTAATAAATCTGCCTTTCTCTACCTACAACCATCTTGGTAAATTCTTTTACCCCCACACCACTGGCTGCCATTCCCCCATGACAGAAAAGGCAAACTCCAAGACACTTTTCTCTACTCTGTCTTAGTATCCAGTATCTTACCCTCTAATTCCTCCTCCCTACACCTCCTCCTGAGCTCAGGATTCATAAAGCTGTGAAGCCTTTTGTTCAGCACTCCATCACTAGTGAGTCAGCCCCACACGTGTGATGATCCATCTGCCCCTCAACTGGAATTCCATTTCATGGGGGAGGATGAGACAGGGAGGGGTTGGCATCTTCCTTGGTTTAGCTCTTACTTTTGTAGCAACTGATTAGAGGCTTCACTATTACTTTAATTCGGGTCATCGTTCCTTTGGTCTGTTACTCCTACGCCTGGCGGCTCAGCACTCTCTCTACTTTAGCTGAGCTCCTGACAAGTTTCTCATAGAAGCAGTTTTGTCTTACTTCATCATGACTGGTGCTTAGGAATAGCCACGCATACACAGTAGTTGCTAAAAAATGGCAACGAACAGAGGCCATGGGAAGGCTTTTGCCAAAGGTCGTGGTTTTAGTGTTTGTGTGTGTAAGAGAGAGAATGGGTGGGGGGTGGACTGAATGCACCTGACTCAGAATTGCTGTGGCTTTGGGATGTGATCTTTGCTTTCAACCGTTCCCTGTTTTCTCCCCAGCACTGGGCTCAGTTCCTCTCATTTCCATCACGGGATATGTTGATAGAGACATCCAGCTACTCTGTCAGTCCTCGGGCTGGTTCCCCCGGCCCACAGCGAAGTGGAAAGGTCCACAAGGACAGGATTTGTCCACAGACTCCAGGACAAACAGAGACATGCATGGCCTGTTTGATGTGGAGATCTCTCTGACCGTCCAAGAGAACGCCGGGAGCATATCCTGTTCCATGCGGCATGCTCATCTGAGCCGAGAGGTGGAATCCAGGGTACAGATAGGAGGTGAGTAGGGAGGGGAGGAGAAGAGAAGGAGGGGTGGATGCTTCGGTAACTCAGAGGGAGGACAGGAGCCTCCATCTTGGCATTGCTGTTTTATCTTTCTCAGTTCTAATGATTTATTTTAAAAGTTTAAAATCAATGAGATGTAAAAGTAAAGTTATAAACATTTGGTTAGGTGGAAATAGAATTGTTTACAATTCCAGGGGAGTAGAATTAAGTATTTCCTTCAGCTGTGACGTAACCCTGTGATGGTTAATTTTTTGGGTCCACTTGACTGGGTCACGATTTGCTCAGATTTGGTCAAGTATTATTCAGGATGCTTCTGTGAGGGTGTTTACACATAAGATTCACATTTGAATTGGTAAACTGAGTAAAGAAGATTGCCCTCCATAATGCGGGTGGGCTTATCCAATCAGCTGAAGACCTGAATAGAACAAAGGGTCGACCCTCCCCTGAGTGAGAGAATGATCTTGCATAGTAGCCTTTTAACTGGGACACTGGCTCTTCCTGGCCTCAGAGCAGGCTGCTGGCCTTCAGACTCAAACTGAACCACTGGCTCTTTCTATGTCTTGAGCCTGCGGACTTTTGGACAGGAGTGACACCATTGGCTCTTCTGGTTCTCAGGTCTTCTGGTTTCAACGTAAATGAACCATTGGCTCTCCTGGGGCTCCAGATTGCTGACTCACCCATGAGTTGGGACCTAAAAGAGCTTCCATGATGTATGCAAGCCAATTCTTTATACTAAATCTGTCTCTCCTCTTCCTTTCTCTCTTTATCTCCATCTTTCTCTCTCAAATATATAGAAACAACAGGATGTATATATATATATATATGTATGTGTGTATACATCCTAGTGGTTCTGTTACTCTGGAGAACTCTCACTAATACAGATTTGGTACCAAGAGTATTTCTAGAGAAAAAGAATTTTAGGGATAACTTTTCAGTCATCCCTAAAATTCTAAAATTCTCTGAGCTGGGATTACTGTGTACACCTGTAGTCCCAGCTACTCAGGAGGCTGAGGTGGGAGGATCACTTGAGCCTAGGAGTTTGAGGCCAGCCTACACAACATAGCAAGACCCCGTCTTCAAACAAACAAAACAAAAAGCACTGAAAGTTCATGTTGTGATCTAGCAATACAGATATGCAAAATTTCACCATTTGCGACCCATAATTAAGCATGGGTTGACTGGTATATGATATTTTCAAACATGTGTGTCGACCTAGTGAATAAGATGAGATTGGCTGGTTGCTCCTATTCTTGCTAGAAAAAGTGAGGAAAGTGATGAAAGGAAATATGAGCGGAGGAATTTGAATTCTGAGTTTCTTGGTGTTGCATAAATAACCTGAAAGCTTCCATGAGTGCCCTGAAAGAGACCCTTATTTTCTGTAGCCACAGGGCTAAGATTGCTGAAAACCAAATTGAGAACTCATTCTGTGACTGGCTGAACGACAATGGAAATCCAAACCTGTTCCTCAGGGTATCTGTCAATGTGAGGGGGCATTGACTGGGAAGAAATGAGATTCAGAAAGTTGAAATGGGGATGTATGGGAAGACTGATGAAGCTGGGGACATTGAGCCTCAAATGCTGATGAGTCTTTGCCAGTGAAAGCAGTCTCAGTCTCTCTATGTCAATTAGAAGTAGCCTCTCCACCTTCATCTCAGGGGATTAACCCTGCATTGCCCAAAGAAACTGTAATGGCCTCTTTCCTGAGGCAGTCACCATGCAAGACAATGCTGATGCTACGCAGGACCCACCCCTACCATTCCTCTTTGCTTCTAGATCTGTACCTAGGCTCAAGTTTCAGCAGGACCCTAAAGTTGGAAACAATGCATGACTCATTAGAAAGTGTACTACACTCCAAAAGAGCTAGTTGGTTTTTCTAATCTATACAGACCAGAAATCCAGAGAATCCATGTCAAATGATATTAAGGGTGTAAGGTGGTGGTACAAGGACGTAAGGTTGGCTCAAACCACATGTAATGGCCTCACTAATCAGAGATCCTGCATTTAATGTTGCAGCTCAGAGTGTTAGAAAGGCCTCTATCGTTTGGTTGGCTGAAGCATGGATCAAAATGTGGCCCACAGAGAGTGACAGGTGGGCATGCTGTTAGGAGCCTTTGCCAGGCCCCTGTAAGTGAATCATGGCACAGGCCCTCAGGATTGAGAAGCAGAGCCCTGCCATTCTCTACGAATAACTACTCTTCTTTTGAAAAATACATCTTGGGCTAGACCTTAGGAAAGACTGAACACTTAATCATGGGCCGCCAAGTTGCAATGTGACTTGAATCAGTAAGAATATAGAATACTTGAACTAAAAATTAACAAACCCAATTTAATAGATATTCTTAGAAGGCTGCACCCACCACAAAGCATTGGAAGCACACACAGACCATAAATTAACTCTCATCAGGCTCAAGCACATAAAATGCTTTACAAAAACTTTGAAGAAAATGGTATTGCGATATGGTTTTAGTGTTGTGTCTTCTCCAAAATTCATGTTGAAACGAAATCCCCAATGCAGCACTATTAAGAGGTGGGCTTTTTAGGAGGTGATTAAGTCCTGAGGACTATGCCCATATGAATGGGTTAGTGCCTTATAAAAGGATTTAAGGGGGTGAACTTACCCTTTCCACCCCTTCTGCCATGTGAGGGACACAGTGTTCATCGCCTTCAGGGGACACAGCAACAAGGTGCCATCTTGAAACAGAGGACAGTCCTCATCAGATGCCAAATCTATTGATACTTGACCTTGGACTTCCCAGCCTCCAGAACTATGAGAAATACATTTCTATTGTTTACAAATGAGCCAGTCTGTAGTATTTTGTTATAGCAGCACAAATGGACAAAGACTGGTATGATTCAAACGATGATTTCTAATCACAATATAATTAAATTCAATGAGAAAAAGAAAAACAATTTAATATTCATATATGTTTGAAACTTTCAAAACATACTTCAAAAATAACTAAGTGGTCATTGAAAAAGTCATAATGATAATTAAAAGTGTCTTAGGACTGAATGATAATGAAACTATACATACAAACTATCACACAACTATACCTTTTAAGAAGTGACATGATTAGGATGGTGAAATGGAGTTTTCAGTTCTCAAACTCCCACAGAAACACTAATTTTAACAACTACCATGAACAAAAGTATTTTTGTAGGAGTCTAGGAAGCCACTTGAGAGGTTCCAACTGGTTGGTCAGGCAAAAAAGCCAAGAACAGATGCATGGAGGAAGGTAAGAACTGTTTCCTTCTACCCGCCTCACTGCTCTTCCGAGGTAACTCAGTGCCAAGAGAGACTCCCTCAGCCCACAATTTTTGCCATGGGGAAAGTGAGAGCAAAGTGAATGTCCAGATTCCCCAGGCTTGTGGGATGCTGCCCAGGAAACCCATTTCTGTCTCACTTAATGCAGAACACTGAGGGGACCATGTGGCTGAATCATCTGGGGGCAGCTAGGAGTAGGGAAAGAGGAGGGGGCTTATGGCAGCCAGTGCATGGACCTGAACAACAAGCAGCAGAACCTACTGGCCAGCCCCTGCACTCTACTAGAGGCCCACCTCACAACCTGCTGACTACCCAACCAGCTGATATGTGCCCCCAGCCCTCCACACACCACCCCTGTGGCTAGAACCTCTTGGTCCATCACAGTGGGGCACGTGCTTCCCTGCAGACAGGGTGCCTGAGCCTCAGCAGATGTGCATACAAACTTCTGCAGTCAGAACACAGATAGCAATCAGCTTGACTCTGCTGGATTGAGAGAAGGTGCACAATCTTGAGTATTTTAGGGAATTGCCCTAGGGATAAATAAATGCAAGGCTCTCAGCAGCCAGCCTGCTTTGCAGGACTGAGAAAAGAAAATCCCAAGACTTCCTCTCACCAAGAAGGAACGAGAAAAGTAAAGCAGGTACATCCATAAAAAAGATCTGAGAGACTTCCAGAGTATCTAGCCAGGCTGACTGGTCAAGGTCTTTGTCTACCAAAGTCTGCCAGTACAGACTAGAGGAGGAGGAGTGACAGAAAGACAAAATATACTGTCAAACAGATTCACAGCACATTAAAAGATTCATTTACCATGATTAAGTGAGCTTTATCCTTGGAACATAAGGATGGTTCAACATATGCAAATCAATAAATATTACACTAACAGAATGAAAGACAAAAACAATATGATCATCTCAATAGATGCAGAAAAAGCATTTGACAACATTCAACACCCTTTCATGACAAAACCAACTTTCAATAAATTAGGTATAGAAGCAATGTAGCTCAACACAATAAAGGCCATACGTAACATGCCCACAGAGCATATACCCAGTGGTTGTCTTAGTCCACTTTATGCTGCTGTACCAGAATACCTGAGATTGGGTAATTGATAATGAACAGAGGTTTATTTGGCTCATGGTCGTGGAGGCTGGGAAGTCTAAGATCAAGGGGTCACATCCTGTGAGGGCCTTCTAGTTGTGTAATTCCATGGAGGAAGGTAGAATGGCAAGAGAGTAAGAAAGAGGAAGGAAGCTGCTTCTGCAAAAATGGCATTAATCCACTCACGAGGGCAGGATCCTCATGGCCTTGTCACCTCTTAAGGGTCCCACCTGTCAACATTATTGCATTGGGGATTAAGTTTTCAACACATAAACTCTGGGGATACATTGAAACCACAGTGATGATGAAAAATTTTTAAACAATAGCGAAATCTATGGAATGTAGCAAAACCAGTTCTAAAAGTTTATAGCTATAAATATCTACATTAAGAAAAAAGAAAGATCTCAAATGAACAACCTAAGTTTATACCTCAAGAAATTAGAAAAAGAAAAAACTAAGCCAAAATTTAGCAGAAGGAAGGAAAAAATAATAATTAGAGCAGAAATAAATGAAATAGAAAAACAATAAAAAGATCAATAAAACTAAATGTTGTTTATTTGAAAAGATAAGTAAAATTGACAAGCCTTTACCTAGATTAACCAAGAAAAAAAGAGCTGACTCAAATAAATAGAATTATAAATAAAAGATGATACATTACAACTGGTACCACAGAAATAAATATAAAATGTCATGAGACTATCGTAGTTCTCCCTTATCCACAGGGGTTACATTCCAAGATCCCCAGTGAATGCCACAAACCACGTACAGTACCAAACCCTATATATGCTATTTTTCATGTCTCAAATGGAACAGAGCAGGATGATAGAGATTTCATCATGCTACTCAGAATGGTGTGCAATTTAAAACTTACAAATTGTTTATTTATGAAATTTTTCATTCAATATTTTTGGGCCACAATTGATCACGAGTAACTGAAATCATGAAAAGTGAAACCAAAGACAAGGTTAGACTACGGCACTATGAAAAATCATAGGCCAACAAACCAGATAACCTAGCAGAAACCAAAGACAAGGTTAGACTACGGCACTATGAAAAATCATAGGTCAACAAACTGGATAACCTAGCGGAAACCAAAGACAAGGTTAGACTATGGCACTATGAAAAGTCATAGGCCAACAAACTGGATAACCTAGCAGAAACCAAAGACAAGGTTAGACTACGGCACTATGAAAAATCATAGGCCAACAAACTGGATAACCTAGCAGAAACCAAAGACAAGGTTAGACTACGGCACTATGAAAAATCATAGGCCAACAAACTGGATAACCTAGCAGAAACCAAAGACAAGGTTAGACTATGGCACTATGAAAAATCATAGGCCAACAAACTGGATAACCTAGCAGAAACCAAAGACAAGGTTAGACTACGGCACTATGAAAAATCATAGGCCAACAAACTGGATAACCTAGCAGAAACCAAAGACAAGGTTAGACTACGGCACTATGAAAAATCATAGGCCAACAAACTGGATAACCTAGCAGAAACCAAAGACAAGGTTAGACTACGGCACTATGAAAAATTACAGGCCAACAAATTGGATAACCTAGCAGAAATGGATACATTCCTAGAAACATACAACCTATAAAAACTGAATCAGAATAATTTAAAAAAAATACCAGACCAGTAATTAGTTAGAAATACAATTGATAATCAAAATCCTCCCAACAAAGAAAATTCCATGACCAGATGGCTCTGCTGGTGAATTCTGCAAAATATTTAAAGAAAAATTAACACAAAAAATTAGCTGGGCGTGGTGGCGGGTGCCTGTAATCCCAGCACTCTGGGAGGCCGAGGTGGGTGGATCACGAGGTCAGGAGATCGAGACCATCCTGGCTAACACGGTGAAACCCTGTCTCTACTAAAAATACAAAAGAATTAGCCGGGCATGGTGGCGGGTGTGTGTAGTCCCAGCTACTTGGGAGGCTGAGGCAGGAGAATGGCGTGAACCCGGGAGGTGGAGCTTGCAGTGAGCTGAGATGGCGCCACTGCACTCCAGCCTGGGTGACAGAGTGAGATTCTGTCTCAAAAAAAAAAAAAAAGAAATAAACAAAGAAAGAAAAATTAATGCCAATACTTTTCAAACTCTTGCAAAAAATTAAAGATGGGGAATAATTCCAAACTCATTTTATGAGGCCACAGTTACCCTGATACAAAAACCATATAAGAACACCATAAAAAAGAAGAAAATTACATGCCAATATCCCTGATAAACATAGATGCAAACATTTCCAACAAATATTAGCCAACCAAATTCATGATAAAAAGAATAATTACAAAGTACATTAAAAGAAACATTAAACGTATCCCCATGATCAAGTGGGATTTATCTCTGGGATGCAAGAATGTTTCAACACACGCAAATAAATAAATATAATATATGACATTAACAGAATGAAGAACAAATAATGTATAATTATGTTAACAAACGCAGAGAAAGCATTTGACAATATTCAGCATCTTTTCATAATAAAAGTCAACAGACTAGGTAACAAAAGAATGTACCTCAACATAATAAAGATCACATATGTGTCAACAAAAAGAGTCAAACTCTATAAAACATTTAAAGAGGTTTATTCTGGGCCAAATGTGAGTGACCAAAGCCCAAGGCATAGTCTCAACAAGTCCTGAGAACATGTGCCCAAGGTGGTTGAGTTACAGCTTGATTTTATGTTTTAAGGGGACAGAAATTACAGACAGACATCAATCAATATATGTAAGGTGTACACTGGTTTGGTCTAGAAAGGCAGGACAACTTGAAATGGGGGCTTCCAAGTAATAGGTAGATTAGAAGATTTTCTGGTTGGCAAATGGTTGTGAGTTATCTAAAAGACCTGGAATCCATAGAAAAGAGTGTCTAGATTAGGATAGGGGGTTGTGGAGACCAAGGTTCTTACATGTAGATGAAGTCTCATAAGTGGCGACCCTTAGAGGCAATAGGTGGCAAATGTTTCATATTCAGATCTTTAAAAATTGCTAGACTCTCAGCTAATCAGTCTCTTCGGGATCAGACAAAGACCTGGAAAGGGAAATTTACATTCTGTAGAGAATTTACATTTCCCCCACCAGAGGCAGCTTTGCCAGGCTATTTCAAAATATGTCAAAGAAATATGCTTTGGGGTAAAATATTTTAAATTCTTTCAGGGCCTGCTATCTGTCATGTGATGCTATATGATAGTCCAGTTGGGATTTGGTATCTTATTGCTACAAAGAGTCTGTTTTGTCAGTCTTAAGACCTCTGTTGTAATGTTAATGCTGCTCAGTTGTTCCTGAACTCCAAAGGGAAGAGGACATAATGAGGCATGTCCAACCTCACCTTCCCATCATGGCCTGGACTAGTCCTTCAGGTTTACTTGGGAATTCCCTTTCTTGAGAAGAGGGGGTCCATTCAGTTGACTGGGAAGCTTAGAATTTTATTTTTGGTTTACATATTATAAGCTCATAGCTAACATTATCCTCAACACTGAAGTAGTGAAAGCTTTCCTTTAAGATTAGGAACAAGATAAAGGTGTCCACTCTTGCCACATAGTATTGGATGTTATAGCCAGAGCAATTGGGCAAAAAAGAAAATTAATAAAAAGCAACCAAATCAGAAAGGAAGAAACATAAATGTCTCTGTTTGGAGATGACATGACACGTAGTGAGCCCTAGAGAATCCACTAAAACCTGTTAGAACTTAATAAATGAATTTAGCAAAGTTGTAGGATACAAAATCAACATATAAAATTAGTAGTGTTTCTATACACTAACAATAAATTGTCTGAAAAGAAATCAAGGAAACAACTTCATTTAAAATAGCATCAAAAAATTAGAAGTAAATTTAGCCAATGAGGTCAAAGATCTGTACACTGAAAACTATAAGACACTGGTGAAAGAAATGGACTATAACACAAATAAATAGAAATGTATCATGTGTTCATAGAATTAATATTGCTTAATGTTCATACTACCCAAATCAATTTATAGATTTAATGCAATCACTATTAAAATTCAAAGGCATTTCTCACAGAATTAGAAAACAATCTAAATTCACATGGGATCACAAAAGACCCTGAATAGCCAAATAAGACTTGAGCAAAAAGAACAAAGTACAAGCATCATACTACCTGATTTCAAATTATGTTATATTAGGTTGGTGCAAAAGTAATTGTGGTTTTTGCCATTGAAAGTAATAGCAAAGACTGCAAAGACTTTTGCACCAACCTAATAGTAATTAAAACCATATGGTACTGGCATAAAAACAGACATATAGATTAATGGAACAGAATTAAGAGCCAAGAAATAAACCCATGCTATATGGTCAACTAATCTTCAGTAAGATTACCAAGAATACAAAATGGATAAATGATAGTTTCTTTAACAAATGGTGTTTGGAAAACTGGATATTTACATGCAACAGAGTGATATTGGACTCATATTTTCCATCACACACAAAAATCAATTCAAAATGAATTAAAGATATAAACAAAAGGCCTTAAACTATAAACTCTTAGAAGAAAGCATACAGAAAAATCTCCTTGACATTGATCTTGGCAGTGATTTTTCACCCTGACACCAAAAGCACAGGCAATGAAAGCAAAAATGAACAAGTAAGATTACATCAAACTAAAAAGCTTTTGCACAGCAAAGGAGATAATCAACAAAATAAAAAGCAACATGTGGAATGGGAGAATATTTTCAAAGTATATACCTGATAAAGAGTTAATGTCCAAAATATGTAAGACACTCATACAACTCAATAACCAAAAATATTCCAATTTTTACAATGGGCAAAGTACATGAATAAACATTTTCCCCAAAAGACATATAAATATTAATAGCCAAGAGATTTATGAAAAGTGACTCACTATCACTAACCATCAGGGAAATTCAATCAAAAGTATAAGGAGAGATCACCTCATACTTGTTAGACTGGTTATTACTAACTTAAGAAATATTACAGGTGTTACTACATTGTTGCTGGGAATATAAATTGATACAGCCACTATGGAAAACAGTATGCAGATTCCTTAAAAAAATACAAATAGAACTATGCTACATAGTCTTATATGTAGATAAACCCTAAAGATTCCACAAAAAACTGTTAGAGCTAATACATTTAGTAAAGTTGCAGTGTACAAAATTATATAAAATAAGTAACCTCATTGATAATTTATAATCCAGCAATCCTGCTTCCGTGCATTTATCCAAAAGAATTGAAGTCAGGATTTCAAAAAGATACTTGCACTTCCATGTTTATTGTGGCATAGTTCACAGTAGCCAAGATATGAAAACAATCTATTTGCTGACAGATGAATGGATTTAAAAAGTGACATATGTAATGAAATATTACTCAACAATAAAAAAGAGGTAATCCCGACACATGGATGAACATGGAGGACATTATGTTAAGTAAAATAAGCCAGACATAAAAATGATCTCACTTATATGTGTAATCTAAAATCATCAGTCATAGAATCATAGAGCATAACTGTGATTGCCAGGGAATGAGGGGAGGGAAAAATGGGAAGGTGATATTCAAAAGGTATAAAAAAGTTTCATTTGTGCAAGATGAAGAAGTTCTGGAGATCTACTATACAGCACAGTGCCTGTAGCTAACAATAAACTATTGTATTCTTAAATTCTGTGAAGAGGGTAGATCTTATATTCTGCTCATACTACACACACACACACACACACACACACACACACACAGACACACACACAATAATTGTAATAATTATAATAAAAGGGGTAGGAGGAAACTACGGGAGATGATGGATATGTCTATAGTCTTGATGGTGGTGATGATTTGAATGGGTATATACTTATCACCAAACTCTTTGAGTTGTATAAATTAAATATGTACAGCTTTTTACATGTGAATCATACCTATCATACTTGATAAATGGTTTTATGAAACAAAAAACAAAACAGAAAAATAAATTAACACCTTTAAATAAATGTATCCATTTCTTCTAGAATTTCTAGTTTGTGTGAATAGAGGTGTTCATAATAGTCTCTGATAGTTATTTGTATTTTTTTGGCTCAGTGTAATATCCCCTTTGTCATTTCTGATTGTGTTTATTTGGATATTTTTTTCTCTTTTCTTTATTAGCCTAGCTAGTGGTCTATATATTTTATTAATTTTTTTCAAAATCCAACTCTGGATTCATTGATCTTTTGAATGGTATTTCATATCTCAATCTCCTTCAGTTCAGCTCTGATTTTGTTATGTCTTATCTTCTGCTAACTTTGGGATTGATTTTCTCTTGGTTCTCTAGTTCTTTTAGTTGTGATAATAGGTTCTTAAATTGAGATCTTTCTAACTTTTTGATGTAGTTGTTTAGTGCTATAAAGTTCCCTCTTAACAGTGCCTTGGTTGTGTCCCAGAGGTGCTGGTATGTTGTGTCTTTTTTCTCATTAGTTTCAAAGAAATTCTTAATTTCTGCCTTAATTTCATTATTTACCCAAAAGTCATTCAGGAGTAGGTTATTCAATTTCCATGTAATTGTATTGTTTTGAGTGATTTTGTTAGCCTTGATCTGTAATCGTATTGAGCTGTGGTCTGAGAGAGCGGTTGTTATGATTTCAGTTCTTTTGCATTTGCTAAGAAGTGTTTTGTGTCTGATTATGTGGTCAGTTTTAAAGTATGTGCTATGTAGTGATAAGAAGAATGTATATCCTGTTATTTTTGGGTGGAGAGTTATGTAGATGTCTATGAGATCCATTTGATCCAGTGTGAGTTCAGGTCCTGAATATCTTGTTAATTTTCTGCCTCAATAATCTATCTAATACAGTCAGTGGGGTGTTGAAGTCTCCCACTATTATTGTGTGGAAGTCTAAATCTCTTTGAAGGTCTCCAAGAACTTGCTTTATGAATCTGGGTGCTTTTGTGTTGGGTGCATATATATTCAGGATAGTTATGTTTGTTGAACTGAACCCTTTACCATCATATATTGCCTTTCTTTGTCTTTTTGATTATTGTTGGTTTAAAGTCTGTTTTGTCTCAAATTATAATTGCAACTCCTGCTTTTTCCTGCTTTCCATTTGCTTAGTAGATTTTCCTACATCCCTTTATTTTGAGCCTATGGATGTTGTTGCGTGTGAGATTAGTCTCTTGAAGACAGCATACCATTTGGTCTTGTTTCTTTATCCAGCTTGCCACTCTGTGCCTTTTAATTGGAGGATTTAGCCAATAAGGCAGTTTAAAAAATATTAATAAGAAATTTTCAGAAACATAAATGTAAAATTCCAATTAGAAATTTTATAAACTCCAAGCAAATGTTTTTTAAAAAACCTAATATATTATGACTGAATTGAGCTTACCCAGGAATAAAAGGTTAGGTCAACATTGGGATATGTATATTTATGTAAGTATTACCTTAATAAGTTAAAGGAGAAAATCTATAAGATTCTCTATAGATGTTAATAAAACATATATAAGTTTCAACATCTAACTATGATTTAAAACACTTGTGAATCCAGAAATAAAAGAAAACCTTTTATGAATTAGCAACAGAAGAGCAGTTCTTTCATCTGATAGAAAGCTATTTAAAAATACCCATAGCTACCATGATACATCATGGTAGGAGGTTTAAACCCAGGAACTTAATGAAGATAACTGCATTAAACATTGCTGTTCAACAATATGCTGGAATAGTAATCATTGCAAAAAAAGAAAGAAAGTGAAAAAAGAATTACAATTTCCAGGAAGGAAAAAATAGAATGCCTATTTCCAACAGGTTATATGATAATACACATTGGAAATCTGGATTAATCTACAGACAAATTCTTTCAATTTATACTTCATTATGTTCATAAAAATAAGATCAGTAAACAAAATACATTGCATTTTATACACCAGCAAAGACAGAAAAACAAACAAATATGCCATGTATAATAACACAAAATGTCACATAGAAATATATTTAATAAAATATTTTTATACTCTTATTAAGGATTAGATAAGTTTACTAAAATAACTAAAATAAGAGGAGAGACACATCTGGCCCTACTGAGCCCCACTGGTCAAGTAGCAACACAATTCCTGATGCTGTCTTTAAGCCTTACTCAGCGTGGGAGGCAAGTGCACACTGGCAGTTGACCATACAGGGAGCATCTGGCCCTGGCCAACCTCAGCAGCTGAGCAGCGACTCAGCCAGCCTTGGGTTCTCTTTGCATATTCCCTAGATAGGAAGACAATAGCAGCTCTGTGATTATCTACAGAGGGAGCATCTGATCTTGCCCAGACCCAGTAGCTATGCAGCAACTCAACCCACCATTGGTGTTCTGCTTAAGGCTACTCTAGACTAGGAGCCAAGCCCAAGTCCACACACATCTGTGGAGCATAGCCTCTGGCCCTGCCCACCCTGAGTGATCAAGCAGCAACCCCAGAAATCTCACCCAGCCTCAGAGCTCAGCACACGTCCCTGACCAACTACAGATTCCAAACAACAGTACCATCTAGCAAGAAAGACAACCTCTAACCCTGGACAATCAGGCAACTGCAGAGCCCAATCAGCAGCACCACCTGTCACAGGAGCACAGCCAGCAGTTCCATTTAATGTCAGAGCACAGGTAGTGGCCCAGCCCAACTAGAGAACCCAACACCCACATCTGCCTGTCTGAGGTTGCTACCAGTTGGCCTATTCAGAATCCCAGGCTATATTAAATAGTGAAGACCTCTTACTGAGAAAGAACACTTGCAAAGGCCAGAAAAGGTGGCCATTTCTTCAAATGTGCAGGCACCAACACAAAGACAGAAGGATTATTTTAAAAATCAAGAAAATATGACACCAAAAGAAACTAATAATGCTCCGGTAATAGACCCTGAAATATGCAAGTCTATGAGACCACTAAGAATTTAAGATAATCCCCTTAAAGAAGTTCAGGAAACTACAAGAAAATGCAGATAGAAAATAAATAACATTTGAAAAATGGTTAATGAACAAAAAGAAAAGCTTGACAAAGGAATAAAAACAATAAAATAGTTAAAATCCTAGAAATGATGAATACAATAACTGAACCAAAATATTAACTAGAAAGCTTCAACAGCAGACTTGATCAAGGCAAAGAATCACTGGGCTTGAAGACTGGATATTTTAAATTATCCAGTCAGAGAATAAAAAAGAAAAAAGAATAAAAAATGAAAAAGACCTATAGGAATTATTGGACACCATTAAGTGTACTGACTTTTGCATAATAGGAGTTTCAGAAGGAGATGAGAGAGAACAAGATCCCGAAGGCATATTTAAGAAAATAATGGCTGAAAATTTCCCAAATGTGGTGAAACACAAAAATATCCAGGTTCAGGAAGCTTGGATGTCATCAATCAAATTCAACCCAAAGAGGATTTTACCAAGATATATCATATTCCAATTATCAAAAAATCAGAGACAAAGAAAGAATACTGAAAGCAGCAAGAGAATGAACCATATCGCATTCAAGAGAGCCCCAATATGGTTTTCAGCCTTTCTCTTAGCAGCAATCCTGCATGCCAGGAAAGAATGGCATTATGTATTCAAAGTGTTGAAGGAAAAGATTGCCAATCAAGATTACATTACTAGCAAATCTGTCCTTCAGAAATGAGGGAGAAATAAAATCTTTCCCAGACAAACAAAAGCTATGGTAATTAATCATTATTAGATCTATTTTATAAATATTACTAAAGGGAGCCCTTTAACTAAAACAAAAGGATTATAATAACAAAAACATATGGAAGTAAAAAACTCACTGGTAAAAATAATATATAGTCATATTCAGAATTCTCTAATACAGTAAGGGTGGTATTTAAAGCTAATTTATCCCTACTGTCACAGTTAAAAGACAAAATTATTAAAAGCACCTATAACTAAAATAAATTGTAAAGAAATACAAATTACAAAACATGTAAATTTTGACATCAAAATCATAAGAAGTGGAAAGGAGTGAAAGTGTAGAGTTTTTGTATGTGATTAAAGTTATCAGAATAAAATAGCCTGTTAAAAGGATATTTTGTGTATGCCTCATGGTAACCACAACACAAAAAAACCACAGCAGGCGGTGGCTGGCAAGATGGCCAAATAGGAACAGCTGCGGTCTGCAGCCCCCAGCAAGATCAATGCAGAAGGGAGGTGATTTCTGCATTTCCAACTGAGGTACCTGGCTCATCTCATTGGGACTGGTTAGACAGTGGGTGCAGCCCACGGAAAGGGAGCTGAAGTAGGGTGGGGCATCACCTCACCTGGGAAGTGCAAGGGGTTGGGGAACTCCCTCTCATAGCCAAGGGAAGATGTGAGGGACTGTGCCATGAGGAATGGTGCACTACAACCCAGATATTATGCTTTTCCCATGGTCTTTGCAACTCATAGACCAGAAGATTCCCTTGGGTGCCTACACCACCCGGGCCCTGGGTTTTAAGCACAAAACTGGGTGGCCGTTTGGGCAGACACCAAGCTAGCTGCAGGAGATTTTCATACCCCAGTGGCACCTGGAATGGCAGCGAGACAGAACCATTCACTCCCCTGGAAAGGGGGCTGAAGCCAGAAAGCCAAGTGGTCTAGCTCAGTGGATCCCACCCCCATGGAGCCCAGCAAGCTATGATCCAAGGGCTTGAAATTCTCACTGGCAGCAGAGCAGTCTGGGGTCAACCCAGGACACTCGAGCTTGGTGGGCAGAGGGACATCACCATTACTGAGGCTTGAGTAGGCAGTTTTTCCCTCACAGTGTAAACAAAGCCACCAGGAAGTTCAAACTCTATGGAGCCTACTGCAGCTTGGCAAAGCCTCTGTAGCCAGACTGCCTCTCTAGATTCCTCCTTTCTGGGCAGGGCATCTCTGAAAGAAAGGCAGCAGCCCCAGTCAAGGGCTTAGAGATAAAACTCCCATCTCCCTGGGACAGAGCACCTGGGGGAAGGAGAAGCTGTAGGCACAACTTCAGCAGACTTAAACGTTCCTGCCTGCCTGCTCTGAAGAGAACAGCAGCTCTCCCAGCACAGTGCTTGAGCTCTGCTAAGGGACAGACTGCCTCTTCAAGTGGGTCCCTGACCCCTGTGCCTTTTGACTGAAAGACACCTCCCAGCAGGGGTCGACAGACGCCTCATACAGGAGAGCTCCGGCTGGCATATGGTGGATGCCCCCCTGGGACGAACCTTACAGAGGAAGGAGCAGGCAGCAATCTCTGCTGTTCTGCACCCTCCGCTGATGATACCCAAGCAAACAGGGCCTGGAGTGGACCTCCAGTAAACTTCAGCAGACCTGCAGCAGAGGGTCCTGACTGGTAGAAGGCAAACTAGCAAACAGAAAGGAATAGCATCAACATCAACACAACAAAAAGGATGTCCACACAGAAACCCCATTCGAAGGTCACCAACATCAAAAACCAAAGGTAGATAAATCCATGAAGATGAGGAAAAACCAGTGCAAAAAGGCTGAAAATTCCTAAAACCAGAATGCCTCTTCTGTTCCAAAGGATTACAACTCCTCACCAGCAAGGGAACAAAACCGGATGGAGAATGAGTTTGATGAATTGACAGAAGTAGGCTTCAGAAGGTGGGTAATAGCAAACTCCTTTGAGCTAAAGGAGCATGTTCTAACCCAATGCAAGGAAGCTAAGAACCTTGAAAAAAGGTTAGAGGAGCTGCTAACTAGAATAACCAGTTTAGAGAAGAAGATAAATGACCTGATGGAGCTGAAAAACACAGCATGAGAACTTTGTGAAGCATACACAAGTATCAACAGCCAAATCGATCAAGTGGAAGACAATGATATCAGAAACTGAAGATCAGCTTAATGAAATTAAACATGAAGACAAGATTAGAGAAAAAAAGAATGAAAAGGAACAAACAATGCCTCCAAGAAATATGGGACTATGTGAAAAGACCAAACCTACGTTTGATTGCTATACATGAAAGTGACGGGGAGAATGGAACCAAGTTGGAAAAGATTCTCCAGGATACTACCCAGGAGAACTTCCCCAACCTAGTAAGACAGGCCAACATTCAAATTCAGGAAATACAGAGAACACCACAAAGATACTCCTTGAGAAGAGCAACCCCAAGACACATAATCGTCAGATTCACCAAGGTTGAAATGAAAGAAAAAATGTTAAGGGCAGCCAGAGAGAAAGGTTGGGTTACCCACAAAGGGAAGCCCATCAGACTAACAGTGGATCTCTCTGCTGAAACCCTACAAGCCAGAAGAGAGTGAGGGCTAATAGTCAACATTCTTAAAGAAATGGATTTTCAACCCAGAATTTCATATCCAGCCAAACTAAGCTTCATAAGTGAAGGAGAAATAAAATCCTTTACAGAAAAGCAAATGCTGAGGGATTTTGTCACCACCAGACCTGCCTTACAAGAGCTCCTGGAGAAAGCACTAAATATGGAAAGGAAAAACCAGTACCAGCCATTGCAAAAACACACCAAGTTGTAGAAACTGCATCAACTAATGGGCAAAATAACCAGCTAGCATAATAATGACAGGATCAAATTCACACATAACAATATTAACCTTAAATGTAAATAGGCTAAATGCCCCAGTTAAAAGACATAGACTGGCAAATTTGATAACGGGTCATGACCCATTAATGTGCTATATTCGGGAGACCCATCTCACGTGCAAAGACACACATAGGCTCAAAATAAAGAGATGGAGGAAATTTACCAACCAAATGGAAAGCAGAAAAAAGCAGGCGTTGCAATCCTAGTCTCTGATAAAACAGACTTTAAACAAACAAAGATCAAAAGAGACAAAGAAGGGCATTACATAATGATAAAGTGATCAATGCAACAAGAAGAGCTAACTATCCTAAATATATATGCACCCAATATAGAAGCACCCAGATTCATAAAGCAAGTTCTTAGAGACCTACAAAGAGACTTAGACTCCCACACAATAATAGTGGAAGATTTTAACACCCAACTGTCAGTATTAGACAGATCAACGAGACAGAAAATTAACAAGGATATTCAGGACTTGAACTCAGCTCTGGAACAAGTGGACCCTATAGGCAGCTACAGAACTCTCCACCCCAAATCAACATAATATATATTCTTCTCAGGACCACATCACACTTATTCTACAGTTGATCACATAATTCGAAACAGAACACTCCTCAGCAAATGCAAAAGAATGTAAATCATAACAAACAGCCTCTCGGACCACAGTGCAATCAAATTAGAACTCAGGATTAAAAAACTCACTCAAACCACAAAACTACATGGAAACTGAACAACCTATTCCTGAATGACTACTGGGTAAACAATGAAATTAAAGCAGAAATAAATAAGCTCTTTGAAACCAATGAGAACAAAGACACAATGTACCAGAACCTCTGGGACAC
The DNA here is from genome assembly GCF_000001405.40 of Homo sapiens. Taxonomy (NCBI): domain Eukaryota; kingdom Metazoa; phylum Chordata; class Mammalia; order Primates; family Hominidae; genus Homo; species Homo sapiens. The sequence continues at coordinate 180,929,304 of NC_000005.10, forward strand.
AGCTAAAGCACTGTTTAGAGAGAAATTTATAGCACTACATGCCCACAGGAGAAAGCAGGAAAGATCTAAAATCGACACCCTAACATCACAAATAAAAGAACTACAGAAGCAAGAGCAAACACATTCAAAAGCTATCAGAAGACAAGAAATAACTAAGATAAGAGCAGAACTGAAGGAAATAGAGACACAAAAAACCCTTCAAAACATCAATGAATCCAGGAGGTGGTTTTTTGAAAAGATTAACAAAATAGATAGACCGTTAGTGAGACTAATAAAGAAGAAAAGAGAGAGGAATCAAATAGACACAATAAAAAATGATAAAGGGGATATCACCACTGATCCCACAGAAATACAAACTACAATCAGAGAATACTATAAATCCCTCTACACAAATAAACTAGAAAATCTAGAAGAAATGGATAAATTCCTGGACACATACACCCTCCCAACACTAAACCAGGAAGAAGTCAAATCCCTGAATAGACCAATAACAAGTTCTGAAATTCAGGCAGTAACTAATAGCCTACCAATCAAAAAAGGCCCAGGACAAGATGGATTCACAGCTGAATTCTACCAGAGGTACAAAGAGGAGCTGGTACTATTCCTTCAGAAACTATTCCAAACAATAGAAAGAGAGAAACTCCTTCCCTAACTCATTTTATGAGGCCACCATCATCCTGATACCAAAACCTGGCAGAAACACAACAAAAAAGGAAAATTTCAGGCCAATATTCCTGATAAACATCAATGTGAAAATCCTCAATAAAATACTGGCAAAGCAAATCCAGCAGCACATCAAAAACCGTATCCACCACGATCAAGTTGGCTTCATCCTTGGGATGCAAGGCTGGTTCAACATACGCAAATTAATAAACGTAATCCATCACATAAACAGAACCAATGACAAAAACATTATCTCAATAGATGCAGAAAAGGCCTTCGATAAAATTAAACACCCCTTCATGCTAAAAACTCTCAATAAATTAGATGTCAATGGAATGTATCTCAAAATAATAAGAGCTACTTATGACAAACCCACAGCCAATATAATACTGAATGGGCAAAAACTGGAAGCATTCCCTTTGAAAACTGGCACAAGACAAGGATGTCCTCTTTCACCACTCCTATTCAACATAGTATTGGAAGTTCTGGCCTGGGCAGTCAGGCAAGAGAAAGAAATAAAGGGTATTCAAATAGGAAGAGAGGAAGTCAAATTGTCTCTGTTTGCAGATGATAGGATTGCATGTTTAGAAAACCCCGGTGTCTCAGCCCCAAATCTCCTTAAGCTGATAAGCAACTTTAGCAAAGTCTCGGGATACAAAATCAATGTGCAAAAATCACAAGCATTTCTATACACTAATAATAGACAAACAGAAAGCCAAATCATGAATGGACTCCCATTCACAATTGCTACAAAGAGAATAAAATACCTAGGAATCTAACTTACAAAGGACGTGAAGGACCTCTTCAAGGAGAACTACAAACCACTGCTCAAAGGAAATAAGAGAGGACACAAACAAATGGAAGAATATTCCATGCTCATCGATAGAAAGACTCAATATCATGAAAATGGCCATACTGCCCAAGGTAATTTATAGATTCAATGCTATCCCCATCAAGCTACCACTGACTTTCTTCACAGAATTGGAAAAAACTACTTTAAAGTTCATATGGAACCACAAAAGAGCCCGTATAGCCAAGACAATCCTAAGCAAAAAGAACAAAGCTGGAGGCATCATGCTACCTGACTTCAAACTATACTAGAAGGCTACAGTAACCAAAACAGCATAGTACTGATACAAAAACAGATATATAGAGCAATGGAACAGAACAGAGGCCTTAAATAATGCCACACATCTACAACCATCTGATTTTTGACAAACTTGACAAAAATAAGCAATGGGGGAAGGATTCCCTATTTAATAAATGGTGTTGGGAAAACTGGCTAGCCATACGTGGAAAACTGAAACTGGACTCCTTCCTTACACCTTATACAAAATTAACTCAAGATGGATTATAGACTTAAACATAAAACCTAAAACTGTAAAAACCCTAGAAGAAAACCTAGGGAATAACATTCAGGATATAGGCATGGGCAAAGACTTCATGACTAAAACACTAAAAGCAAGGGCAACAAAAGCCAAAATTGACAAGTGGGATCTAGTTAAACTAAAGAGCTTCTGCACAGCAAAAGAAACTATCATCAGAGTGAACAGGCAACCTACAGAATGGGAGAAAATTTTTGCAATCCATCCATCTGACAAAGGGCTAATATCCAGAATCTACAAGAACTTAAACAAATTTCCAAGAAAAAAAACAAACAATGCCATCGAAAAGTGGGGGAAGGATATGAACAGACACTTCTCAAATGAAGACATTTATGTGGCCAACAAACGTGAAAAAAAGCTCATCATCACTGGTCATTAGAGAAATGCAAATCAAAAGCACAATGAGATACCATCTTGTGCCAGTTAGAATGGTGATCATTAAAAAGTCAGGAAACAACCCATGCTGGAGAGAATGTGGAGAAATAGGAAAGTTTTTACACTATTGGTGGAAGTGTAAATTAGTTCAACCATTGTGGAAGACAGTGTGGCGATTCCTCAAGGATCTAGAACCAGAAATACCATTTGACCCAGCAATCCCATTACTAAGTATATACTCAAAGGATTATAAATCATTCTACTATAAAGACACATGCACACATATGTTTATTGCAGCACTGTTCACAATAGCAAAGACTTGGAACCAACCCAAATGCCCATCAATGATAGGCTGGTTAAATAAAATGTGACACATATACACCATTGAATACTATGCAGCCATAAACAAGCATAAGTGGAAGTTGAACAATGAAAACACATGGACACAGGGAGGGGAATATTACACACTGGGTCATGTCAGGGTGTGGGGGGCTAAGGAGGGATAGCATTAGGAGAAATACGTAATGTAGATGATGAGTTGATGGGTGCGGCAAACCAGCATGGCACATGTATACCTATGTAACAAACCTGCACATTCTGCAAATGTATCCCATAACTTTAAGTATAATTATTTTTTTCAGATGGAGTCTTGCTCTGTCGCCCAGGCTGGAGTGCAGTGGCACAATCTTGGCTCACTGCAAGCTCCCCCTCCCGGGTTGACGCCATTCTCCTGCCTCAGTCTCCCAAGTAGCTGGGACTACAGGTGCCCGCCACCATGCCTGGCTAATTTTTTTTTGTATTTTTAGTAGAGACAGGGTTTCACCATGTTAGCTAGGATGGTCTCGATCTCCTGACCTCGTGATCCGCCCGCCTCGGCCTCCCAAAGTGCTGGGATTACAGGCGTGAGCCACTGCGCCTGGCCAATTTTAAGTATAATTTTTAAAAAGCCACAGCAATTGCACAAACAATAAAAAACAAAGGATTCAAAGCATGCAACTGTGAGAAAACATCAAATTTCAAAGGAAGACAGCCAGAGAAGAATTAAAAATAAAAGATCTACAAAACCAACATAAAACAAATTATAAAATGGAAGTCTGTACCTATAAATAACCTTGAATGTAAATGGGTTAAATTCTCCAATTAAAATACATAGACTGGCTGAATGTATTTTTAAAATCAACCATATACTACTGTCTATAAGTGACTCACATTACTAGTAAAGACACACAAAGTCTGAAAGTGAGGGGATGAAAAAGGATATTCCATGCAAATAAAAACCAAAAAAAAAAAAAGCAGTGGTAGCTATACTTATATGAGACAAAATAGACTTTAAGTATGTAACTATAAAAAGAGAAAAAGGTCATTATGTAATAATAGAGGGTTCAATTTACCAAGAACATATAACAATATAAATATATATGCACAAAACATCAAAGCAGTTAGTAAATATTTTAAGGAGAGATAAACTGCAACACAATAGAAGTAGGGAACCTCAAATCCCACTTTCAGCAATGAACAGATAATCTAGACACACAATCAATAAGAAAACTTTGGACTTAAACTACATGTTAGAGCAAATGGACTTAATAGCCATATACAGAATATTCTATCCAACACCAGTAGAGCACACATTCTTCTCAAGTGCACATTCTCCAGAACATATCATATCTTAGGCCACATAAAAAGTTTTAAATTTAAGAGGATTAAACTCATAATAAGTATATTTTCAGACCACAATGGTACAACCTAGAAATCAATAGAAATCTTGGAAAACAGGCAAATATGTGGAAATTAAACAACATGCTTTCAAACAACCATCGGGTCGCAGGAAAAAACAAGAATGAAATAAAAAATATTTTGAGACAAGCAAGAATGGAAACACAACACACAAAACTTATGGGGTGCATTAAAGGCAAAAATGAGAGGGAAATTTATAGCAATAGACATCTGTATCAAAGAAGAAGGATCTCTAATAAACAGCCTAATGTTACACATCAAGGAACTAGAAAAAGAAAAAAGAATTACATCCAAAGAACAGAACAATAATAAGTAAGGAGACTGACTTAGTAATAAAAATTCTCCCATCAAAGAAAAGCCCAGGACCCAGTGACATCACTGATGAATTCTACCAAACATTTAAAGAAAAACTGCCAGCATTTCTCAAACTCTTCCAAAAAATGACAGAGGACATACTTCCAAACTTATTTTACAAGGTCAACATTACCCTGATACCAATATCAGACAAGGACACTGAAAAAAAAAGAAAACTACAGGCCAATATTCCTGATGAAAATAGATGCAAAAATTCCACCCCCCACCAAATACTAGTAAACCAAATAAAATAGCACATTAAAAGAATTGCCCACTGTGACCAAGTATGATTTAACCCTAGGATGCAAGGATGGTTCAATATATACAAATATAAATGTCATATAACATATAAGCAAAGTGAAGGATAAAAATCATATGATAATCTCAATTGATACAGAGAAAATATTTGATAAATTCAGCACCCTTTCATGATTAAAAATCTCTGAACATATTAGGTATACAGGGAATGTACTTCAATACAATAAAAGCCATATATGACAACCCATAGCTAACATTGCCATGGCATCCTTTGGGTGTTGCTTTTCCTCTGGAAACCTTTGCCCAAGTTTTTCTTAGGCCCATTGGGCTTGTTCTGCCCCCTTGGCCTTGCAGGCTGTGCTTGGCTTGTGATACCAGTCCAGATCCCACACCTGCCAAGGGCGAGCCAGGCACAGAGCAGTGAGGAGTGCATGAGTGAGCGAGCACAAAATCTGGCCACTGTGCACAGCCAGGCATGCTGGCTGCTGTGGTGGAGCAGGCAGCTCTAGGCACCAGCACAGGTGCCAGCTCCATGTAAACCTCTGTGTGGCTAGATCAGATGCACTGCAAGTAGCTTCCACTGTAGGCACCTGTGTCTGGACGAGGGGAATGTGGTGGTGCCTGGAAGCTTGGAAATGCCAGAAACCATACAGGCCCAAAGAGGGTGTCACAGTCCTGGCATGGGAAGCCCCTAGGTCTGGGCTCCTGGAAGGGCTGCAGCTCTTCTCTCCTTCTCATTGTCTGCAACATTGCAAACAGGGCGGTGTGTATCAGCCCTGTTTGTGTTACAGCTTTTTCAGTCCCACCTTTCAGTGGTTCCCAAGTTCTTGTCCCATATCCAGGAAGAATGTGGTACACAGACAACTGGAGGGTAAGGCAGTGAGGAGCTTTATTGAGCAACAGAACAATTCTCAGGAGACCTGAAGTGGGTAGCTCCTTTCTGCAGGCAGGTCATCCCAACAAGTGGGTAGCTCCTTCCTGCTTCTCACTTCATAGTCCTGATGTCTGTCTGAGTCTAGGGGTTTTTATGGGCCCAGAAGGAAGGGAGTGCATGCTGATTGGTTCATGGATGGCCATGGGTGGCTGGGAAAAAGCACCATAAATTCTGACTCCAGGCAGTGGACTCCACCCGGAACTGGCAGCCCAGCCCCCAGGCTTCAGGTCATCCCTGGCTTGAAGGTAGTTAGGGACCTGCCCCTTTCCACCCAGGAACCTGTTTCCCTTCCACCATCAACATGCCATCCATGGTACCTGGGCTGTTCATGCTGAGTTGGACCTGCAGACCTGTGCAGAGCTGCCCTCAGCCATCGTCCTCCCTCCTGTGCTCACTGGTGCTCAAAGTCCAGAAGGAGCTGAGGAGGCAGAAGCTGTCATGTCAGCACTGCCTCCAGCACATGCATACCTGGCTGGGCACAACAGTGCCCGGACTCGGCTACAACTTTGCTTTGCACTGGAGTGGACACCAGGAGCAGGGAGAGGGTAGGAAGCAGAAGCAGGCACTTCTGAGCCTGCAGGGGCAGAGAGGGTTTCCAGGGCCCCGAGAGCACAGTGATGCCTGGGTCTGGAGCTGCGGCTGGGTGACTGCAGTTGTGCCCCAGAGCACAGGACTCCTGCCCCGTGGACTTGGTAGAGAGTGGGGCTCCCCCCATTCCCAGCCCCCTCCCAGCCCCACCTGGCTCCATGGAGCACATGGCCCCAGCCACACCTCCCCTGCTGCAGCCAGCATCTTCACAGCAACTGCTCCAGACAGGCTGCCACTGTTATCAACATCATACTTAAACATGAAAAGTGGAACACTTTTCCTGCTAGATCAGGGACAATACAAGAATGCCCATTCTTATAACTTTTTTTTTTTTTGGTGTCTTGCTCTGTCGCCAGGCTGGAGTGCAGTGGCATGATCTCAGCTCACTGCAACCTCCGTCTTCTGGGTTCAAGTGATTCTCCTGCCTCAGCCTCCCGAGTAGCTGGGACTACAGGCACACACCACCATACCCAGCTAATTTTGTTGTATTTTTAGGAGAGACAGGTTTTCACCATGTTGGCCAGGATGGTCTCGATCTCTTGACCTTGTGATCTGCTTGCCTTGTCCTCCGAAAGTGCTGGGGTTACAGGCGTGAGCCACCGCCCCGGCACTTCTTTCTAACATAGTACTGGATGTCCTAACCAGCACAGTTAGGCAAAAGAAAGAAAGAAAAGGTATCCACATTGGAAAGAAAAAAGTAAAATTGTCTCTATTTAGTAATAACATCATCTTATATATAGAAAATCCTAAAGACTTAGCCAAAAAAGTATTGGAAAAGGTAAACAAGTCTAGTAATGTTGAAAGATACAACATCAACATACAAAGATCAGTTTCATTTCTATACACTAATGAAAAACTATCTGAAAAAGATTAAGAAAACAATTCCAATAGCAACAAAAAAGTACTTAGATATAAATTTAACCAGAGATGAAAGACCTGGTTAAAATTATGGAAAATTATAAAACACTGATTAAAGAAATTGAAGAAAACACAAGCAAATGGAAAACTATCCTGTGTTCATAATTGGAAGAATTAATATTGTTTTGATGTCCTTGACTAGCAGAGCTGCCGCTTGCCGTAGTGTGCTCTGCAGGAATTGTGGACGAACACAGCTGAAGCTTGCCACTGGCCACTCCATCCCCTCAACCAGTGACCCTGACCACTTGATTGGTGGAGCTGCTGCCTGCCACATGTGACTCCAGTGATCTAAGGACTTGTGGAGTCACATGTGACCAGACCACCAGTGAGCCGAAACTTTCAACTGTCAGAGGTGCTGTACACCACACATGTTCCCCAGGAATTGGGAATTAGCCTGCCCAGCATCTGCTCCCACCAGAAATACCACCCCCTGGAACAGTGGAGGCACCACACACTGCCTGCATCCCCCAGGGTTCCAAGGACTGGCGCACTCAGCACCTGCTGCCATGACTTCATATCCTTGATTGGCAGAGTGACTACATGCTGCACGCAGCCCCCCAGGAGTCTCAGGAACAGCCCATTTGGTGTCCACCACTGATGGTGGCCATATCTCATTTACTTGCAGAGCTGCTGCATGCTACGTGCATCGTCTAGGACTCCAGGTACTGGCCCACTCAGCACCTGGCACCTCTAGTAACCTTGCCTCCTCGACTGGTACACCCCTGGGACCAAGTGACCAGTGGAGCTGTCATGTTTGGTGTGCACTGCCCTTGCCTAAAAACCAGCCTAGCTGGTGGCCCCAGCTCCCTGCAAAGCTGTGCCATTGCCTCCAAAACTACACACAGCCTACAACATTGACACACTTGAAGGTACTTCCAATGTTGATTACAGCTGAAGCAGTTACATGGAAATTATTAATATAATACAGCACCCACGTATCCAACCAACACCATAGGACTCATCTACAGGAAAACATCTTTGCCTATAAAAGTTTCCACCTCAGGGAACTAGAAAAATAAAAAAAAGAAGCCCCAAGTTGAAAATGTTTGAAATAACAAAAATTAGAGCAGAAATAGAGAGTAGAAAAACAGAAGAAAACATCAACAAAACTAACAGGTGGTTTATATATAATGTTATTCCATAAAATTGGAAGAGGTTATTGTTCCACCAAATTTGCAGATATCAATGTAGGAACCCAAGAAACATGAAAATCCAAGGAAATATGACACCTCCAAAGGAACACAGTAATTCTTCAGTAACAGACTCCAAGGAAAATAAAATCTATGAATGCCTGAAAAGGAGTTCAAAATAATGATCTTAAGAACACTTAGTGAGACACAAGAGACTAGAAATGGAGAATTTAACAAAATCAGGAAAACAATTTTTCATCTAAATGAAATACTTTTTAAAAGCCCCTTTCCCCATTTAAAAAAAAAAAGAAATATTCAACAGAGAGACAGATACTACAAAACAGAGCTAAACAGGAATCTTGGAGCTAAGGAATTCAATGAATGAAATAAAAACATTGCCATTTGATGGATTACTATAGTGATAAAATTTGATTCCTTTCAAATTTATACAGGAGATAAATCAGAAGAAAGAATTTCTGAACTTGAAGACAGGTATTTTGAAATAACCCAGTCTGATGAAAAAAAGAAAGAGAAAAAAGAATGAAGAAAGTATACAGGACTTATGAAATACCATTAAGTGAAAAAATTTTCATATTATGTGAGTTTCAGAAGAAGAGATGAGAGATGGTGTAAATAACCTATTTAATAAAATAATAGCTGAAAACTTTGCAAGTCCTGGAAGAGATGTGGACATCCAGTTCCAGGAAGCTTAAAAGTTTCCAAAATATTCAACACAAAAAGGTCCTCTACATGGCACATTTTAGTCAAATTGTCAAAAGGACAAACAGAGAATTCTAAAATGAGCAAGATAAAAGTGTCATGCTACGTACAAGAGAATTCCCATCAGACTAACAACAGATTTCTTTCCTTCTTCCTTCCTTCCTTCCTTCCTTTCTTTCTTTTTTTTTTTTTTGATGGAGTCTTGCTCTGTCGCCAGGCTGGAATCCACTGGCACGATTTCGGCTCACTGCAGCCTCTGACTCCCTAGTTCAAGTGATTATCCTGCCTTAGCCTCTCGAGTAGCTGGGATTACAGGCACGCACCACCACACCCAGCTAATTTTTGTATTTTTAGTAGAGACGGGGTTTCGCCATGTTGGTCAGGATGGTAACAGCAGATTTCTTAACAGAAATCTTACAGGCCAAGAGAGAAAGGGATACTATGTTCAAAGTGCTGGAAGGGAAAAAAAGCCAACTAAGACATGATGGCCAGCAAAGATATTCTTCGGAAATAAAGAAGAAAAAGATATTTTTTAGATAAGCAAAACTGAGGGAATTTATCACCACTAGATCAGTCTTACAAGAAATGCTCAAGGGAGTCCTATGTCTGGAAGGGAAAGGATGATAACTACCATATGAAAACACCTGAAGGTAGAAAACTCACTGGAAGAATAGATATGAAAATGAGAAAGAGAAAGGAATCAAATTTTATCACTATAGTAATCCATCAAACGGCAAAGGGAAATGATAAGAGAGGAAGAATCAAACTTGGATATACAAAATAATGAACAAAAAGTTAACAAAATGACAGGAATAAGTCCTCACTCATCAACAATACCCTTGAATGTAAATAGTTTAAATTCCCTAATTAAAATATATAGATTGGCTGAATGAATGAATGAATGAATAAATGAAAAAAGATCCCATTATATGGTGCCCAGAAGAAACTCACTTCACTTGTAAAGACACACAAAGACTGAAATTGAGGGATGATGAATGGTATTCCACACAAAAGGAAAAAAAAACAAGCAAGAATAGCTATACTTATATTAGATAAGATAGATTTTAAGTCAAAAACTGTAAAAAGGGACAAAGAAGATTATTATTTAATGATAAAGGGGTCAATTCAACAAGAGGATATAGCAATTGTAAATATATATGAACCCAATACAAAAGCACCAAAATTCATAAAGCAAATATTACTAGATCTAAAGGGAAAGGTAGATCCCAATACATTAATTAATGTAATGTCTAGCTGAACTGTCTAGCTGTTGAAGCTGGGGGCTTCAACACCCCACACTCACCATTGGACAGATCATCTAGACAGAAAATCAACAAAGTAACATTGGATTTATTGTACCCTATACACCAAATGAACCTAGCAGATATTTACATAACATTTTATCCACAAGCTGCAGAATACACATTCTTCTCATCAGCACATGGAATATTCTGCAGGATACATTTTATGTTAGGCCACAAAACAACCTCAACAATTTTTTTTAAAATAAAAACTATATCAAATATATTTTCAGGGCACAATAGAATAAAACAAGAAATCAATAACAAGAACACTGGAAATTGTACAAATACATGGAAATTAAACGACATTCTTCTGAACAACCATTGGCTTAATGCAGAAATTAAAAACAAAGTTAAAGAACTCCTTAAAACAAATGAAAATATAAATACAACATACCAGCTGGGCACAGTGGCTCATGCCTGTAATCCCAGCACTTTGGGAGGCTGAGGTGGGCAGATCACGAGGTCAAGGGGTCAAGACCAGCCTGACCAACATGGTGAAGCACCATCTCTACTAAAAATACAAAAAATTGGCTGAGCATGGTGGCACTAATCCCAGCTACTCGGGAGGCTGAGGCAGGAGAATCTCTTGAACCAGGGAGGCAGAGGTTGCAGTGAGCTGAGATCATGCTGCTGCACTTCAGCCTGGGCGACAGAGCAAGACTTCATCTCAGAGGAAAAAAAAAAAAAAAGAAACACAAGATACCAAAACATATGGGATATAGTAAAAGCAGTACTAGGAGGTAAGTTTATAGCAATAAATGCCTACATCATAAAAAGTATAAATATTTCAAGTAGAAAAAACTCCAAACAATTAGCCTCAAGAAACTAGAAGGGCAAGAAGAAACAAAGCCCAAATTTTGTAGAAGGAAATAAATAATAAATATCAGAGGAGAAATAAATGAAATAAAGACCAAAATTATAAGACAAAAGACCAACAAAATAAGAGTTTGTGTTTTGAAAAGATAAAATTGACAAACCCTTAGCTGGAATAACTATGAAAAAAAGAGAGAAGATCCAAATAAAGAAAATCAGAAACCAAAAGGAGGCATTACAACTGATACCAGAGAAATAGAGAAATACAAAGGATCATTGGAGACTATTAAGAACTATATGCCACGGGGCACAATTGTTCATGCCTGTAATCTCAGCACTTTGGGAGGCCAAGGCAGGCAAATCACTTGAGGTCAGGAGCTCGAAACCAGCCTGGCCAACATGGTGGTGAAACCCTGTCTCTACAAAAAAACAACAATAACAACAAAAAAAACCCATAAAAATTAGCTGGGCTTGGTGGCATGCACCTGTAGCCCCAACTACTCAGGAGGCTGAGGCTGAGAATCATTGAACCTGGGAGGCAGAGGCTGCAGTGAGCCGAGATTGAGATGCAGCCTGGGAAACACAGCAAGAAGAAAGAGGTGGAAGGGAGGGAGGGAGGAAGGAAGGGAGGAAGGAAGGAAGGAAGGAAGGAAGGAAGGAAGGAAGGAAGGAGAGAAAGAAAGAACTAGTATATGCCAACAAGTTGGAAAATGTAAAAGAAGTAGATAAACTCATAAACACATGGAACATACTAAAATAGAGTCAGGAAAAACTAGAAAACCTAATCAGACTAATAATGAGTAACAAGAGTGAATCAGCAGTAGGAAGTATCCCAACAAACAAAAGCCCAAAACAAGATGACTTCACTGCTGGATTCTATTAAACTTTTAAAGAACTAACACCTTCTCTTCTTAAAGTATTACAAAAAGTTGAAGGGGTGGGAATTCTTCCAAACTCATTCCATGAGGACAGTATTATCCTGATGCCAAAATCAGAAAAGAATACAACAAAAAGGAGAATGCTACAGGCCAATATTCATTATGAACATAGATGCAAAAATTCTCAACAAAATACTAGCAATCCAAATCCAATAGCATATCAAAAAGAATATACACCATGATTAAGTGGGATTGATTCTAGGGATGCAAGGATGGTTCAACATATGGAAATCAATAAATTTGATATATCACATCAACAGAATGAAGACCAAAAAGTATATGATCATCTCAATAGACATTAAAAAATATTTGATGAAATTCAACATCCTGCATGATATAAACTCTCAACAGTTTAGATGTAGAAGAAATGTACCTCAACACAATCAAGGTCACATATGACAAACTCACAGCTAACATCATACAGAATGGGGAAAAGTTGAAAGCTTTTCAATAAGAACTGGAACAAGACAAGGATGCCCACTTTTACTACTCTTATTCAACAAAGTACTGGAAGTCCTAGCCGGAGCAATCAGGCAAGAGCAAAAAATAAATGGCATCTAAATTGGAAAGGAGAAAGTCTAATTGTCCCTGTTTGCAGACAACATGATCTTTATATAAAAAAACTAAAGATTCCATCAAAAAAACCTCTTAGAACTGATAAACAAATTCAGTAATGTTGCAGGATACAAAATCAACATATAAATTCAGTAGTGTTTCTACACACCAATAACAAACTAGTTGAAAAAGAATCAAGAAAGCAGTATCATTTACAATAGCTACAACAAAATAAAATACCAAGGAATAAGTTTAACCAAGGAGGTGAAGATCTATACAATAAAAACTACAAAACATTGATGAAAAGAACTGAAGGGAACACAAACAAATGAAAAGATACCCCATGTTCCTGATGTAAGAGAATTAAGATTGGTAAAATGACCACACTACCCAAAGTGATCTACAGAGTCAATGCAATCCTTATCAAAATACCAATGACATTCTTTAAAGAAATAAAAACCAAAATCCTAAAATTCATATGGAGCCACAAAAGACTCCAAACAGCCAAAACATTACTGAATAAAAGAACAAAGCTGGAAGTATCACACTATGGAGCTTCAAAATACACTACAAAAGCATGCTAGCCAAGACAGCGTGGTACTAGCATAAAAGCAGACACACAGAAGAATGAGACAGAATACAAAACCCAGATATAAATCCACATATTTACAGTCAGCTCACTTTTGAGAAAGGTGCCAAGAATATATATTAGAGAAAAGAGTCTCTTCAAAAAATAGTGCTGCATTTGCTAGTATCAATATGCAGAAGAATGAACTAACCCCTATCTCTCACCATATATAAAAATAAACTCTTGATGAATTAAAGGCTAAAATGTAAAACCTGAAACTATAAAGCTACTAGAAGAAAACATAGGAAAAATGCTTCAGGACATTGGACTGGGCAATAATTTTTTTTTATGTGATTTCAAAACCACAGACAATAAAAGCAGAAACAGACAAGTGTGATTATATCAAACTGAAAAGCTTTTGCACAACAAAGGAAATAATTAACAGAGTGAAGAGGTAACTTACAGAATGGGAGAAAATATTTGCAAACTATACATCTGACTAGGTATTCATATCCAGGATATAAGGAACTCAAACAACTCAAGAGTGAAAAAACCCAAATAATCCAATCACAAAAGGGAAGATAGACTTTTTTTTTTTTTTTTTTTTTTGAGGCAGAGTCTCGCTCTGTCGCCCAGACTGCAGTGCAATGGCGCAATCTTGGCTCACTACAACCTCAGCTTCCTGGGTTCAAGTGATTCTCCTGCCTCAGCCTCCCGAGTAGCTGGGATTACAGACACCATCCACCACACCCAGCTAATTTTTATATTTTTAGTAGAGACGGGGTTTCACCAGGTTGGCCAGGCTGGTCTCTAACTCCTGACCTCAGGTGATCCATCCAGCCTCCCAAAGTGCTGGGATTACAGGCATGAGCCACCGTGCCTGGCCAGGATGATAGACCTTATATACATTTCTTAAAAGAAAACATACAAATGAACAACAGATATATAAAAATCTGTTCAGTATCACTAGTCATCAGGGAAATGCAAATCAAAACTACAATGAGATAAAACATTACTCAAGTTAAAATTGCTATTATCAAAAAGACAAAAGATAACAATTGTTGATGTGGAGAAGAGGAACACTTACACACCATTGGTGGGATTTTCAATTAGTGTGTTCATTATGGAAAACACTATGGAGATTTCTCAAAACATTAAAAACAAAACTACCATAGATCCAGCAATCAAAGTACTGAGTATACCCAAAAGAAAGAAAATCAACATGTTGAAGAAATCTGCACTCCTATGTTTATTTCAGCACTATTCACAATAGCTAAGATATGGAATCAACCTAAGTGTTTATTAACAAATTAATGAAAAGCAAATATGATGTATATACAAAATAGAATATTATTCAGTAATAAAAAGAGTGAAATCCTATTATTTGCAACAACATGGATGAACTTAGAAGACACTACGTTAAGTTACATTAAACCATACATGATCTCACCCATAAGTGGAATCCAATAAATGGATCTCATAGAGGTACAGAATCTAGAAGACATTAAGTAAATTAAGCCAGACACAGAAATACAAATATCACATGATCTCACCCACATATGGAATCCAAAAAGTTTATCTCATAGAAGTAGAGAAGTAGGGGTTACCAGAGACTGGTGGAGCTGGGGATAGGGTAGAGGGAGGAATGGAGAAAGACTGGCCAATGCATACAAAGTTACAATTAGATAGGAAGAAAATGTTCTGGTGTCCTGTTGCATAGCAAAGTGACTATAGTTAACAAGAATGTATAGTATATTTCAGAATAGCTAGAAGAGAGGATTTTGAATGTTCTCACCACAAAGACACGACAAGTGTTTGAGGTGATGGAAATGATCATTACACAATGTATACATGTATCACGACATCACATTGTACCACATAAATATGTACAGTTATTATGAGGCAATTAAAATTCTTTTAAAAAGCTGATCTCATAGAAGTAGAAAGTGGAATAGTGGTTACTAGAGGCTGGTAAGGGTAGAGGGATTGCAGGGGATGAGGAGAGGTTGATCAGGTACAAAATTATATTTAAATAGCAGCAATAAGTTCCAGTCTTCTATTGCACAGTAGGGTAACTATAATTACCAATAACATATTACATATCTCAAAATAGCTAGAAAAGAGGATTTTGAATGTTCTCACCTTAAATGATCAATGTTTTAGGTGATACCTTAATTTGATCATTACATATTGTACACATATATCAAAGCACCATTTTGTACCCTGTAAATATGAACAATTATTACATCAATACAAAGTAAAATAAAACTTAAAAAACTGAACACAAATAAAGGAAATATATTCCATGTTCAGGGATTGGAAGGATTAGCATTGTTAAAATGTTTATACTACCCAAAGCTATTTACAGATTCAATACAGTCTCTCTCAAGATTCTAACGTCACTTTTCACAGATAAAGAAAAAAGGAATCCTTAAATTCATATGGAATCACAAAAGATCTCAAATAGCCAAAGCAATCTTGAGCAAAAATAACAAAGTTAGAGTCACAATACTCTGATTTCAAAATATAAAGTGATTATAATTAAAACGTCCTGGGGCTGGCACAAAAGCGGACACATCACTCAATGGAACAGGATGGAAAGTTTGGAAGTACGCCCATGTGTTTATGAACAATTGATTTTTGAAAAAGGTGCCAAGAACACAGGATGAAGAAAGGACAGTCTCTTCAATAAATGATATTGAAACAAGTGGATATCCACATGCACATGTGTGAAATTGAACCCTTATCTCACACCATGTACAAAAACGAACTCAGATTAAAAAGTTAAACATAAGACCTGCAACTATAAAACTGCTAGAAGAAAATATATGGGCAAAGCTCCATGACATTGATCTTGGCAATAATTTTTTTGAATATGACATAAAAAGCACAGACAAAAAAGCAAAAATAGACAAATGGGATTACATCAAACTAAAAAGCTTCTGTACAGCAAAGAAAACAGTTAACAAGGTGAAGGACTACCCACAGAGTGAGAGAAAATATTTGCAAACCAAACAGCTGATAGAGGGTTAATAACCAAAATATATAAGAAATTCAAACAGCTCAATAGAAAGAAAACAAATAACCTGATCTTAAAAAAGGGGAAAGGACCTGAACAAACATTTCTCAAAATTACATTTAAGTGGACAACAGGGAGAGTGTAGGCTTGCGCTAACTCTCTTCTTTCACCTAGTTGCACTCCTGAGAGCAAGATGGGTCACCAGCAGCTGTACTGGAGCCACTCATGAAAATTCGGTCAGGGTTCTTGCTCTTGTCGAGTCTGATCCGGAAATATGGCCTCAATATGTGCTGGCAGTGTTTCCATCAGCACGCAAAGGACATATGTTTCATTAAGTTGAACTAAGTGCTCTTCCTTGAATGGATTATCCAAGGCATCTACGCAATGAAAAACCATGATAGCTCTTTGTACATAAAATAAACATTAATAAATAAATAAATAAATAAATAAATAAATGGACAACAGGTACATGAAGAAATGCTCAGCATCTCTAATCATTGTGGAAACGCAAATTAAACCACAATGAGATATCACCTTACACCTCTTTGAATGGCTATTATCAAAAAGATTAAAGATAAGTGTTGGCAAGGATGCTGAGAAAAGGAACTCATACATTATTGGTGGGAATGTAAATTAGTATGGCAATTATGGAAAACTGTATGGAGTTTTCTTAAAAAACTAAGAATAGAACTACTCTATGATTCAGCAGTCCTACTTGTGGGAATATATGAAAATGGATTGTAATCAATATGTTGATGGAATAGCTGTATTACTCACAATTGCTAAATTCAGTCTAAGTGTCCATCATTCAGATGAATGGATAAAGAAAATGTGATCTATAAATACAATGGAATACAATATTTAGCCTTTAAAAAAAGGATGGACATTTTGTCGTTTGCAACTCCGAGGATAAACCTGAAGGACATTATGCTAAGTGAAATAAGCCAAGCACAGAAAGATGAATCTCTTGTGATCTGATATATGTCAAAGCTAAAAAAGTTGAACTCATAACAATAGAGAGTAGAATGTTACCAGAGGCTGGGGCAGAGGGCAAGAGAGAATGGGGAGTTGTTGGTCAAAGGGTGCAAAGATTGAGATAGACAAGAGGAATATGTTTTGAAGTCTACTGAAGAACAGGGTGACTGTAGTTAACAATAATATATTGTATATTTCAGAATAACAGAAAGAATAAAATTTAAATGTCTCATCATAAAAATGATAAGTAAGGGAGATGATGGATGTCTTAATTAGCTTGATTTAATCATTCCACATTGTAGGCATGTATCAAAGAGTCACACCGTACCCATTAATATGTATGTGATTTGTCAATTTAAATAATAGTAATAAAAGGAGGGAAGAGATAGTTTTTCAGACAAGATGCAAATATTTTAAGACATCAGTTCTCTCTGAATTGATCTATAGATTCAATACAATTCCATTCAAAATCTCAGCAGAATTTTCTTAGAACTTGACAAGTCAATACAAAAATTTATGTCGCAGAGCAAAGTTGCCAAGGCACAACTGAATAAGAAGTGAGGAAACTTAGTCTAGTTTATACCAAGACATATCCCGGAACTGTGGTGATTAAGCCACTCAAAATTATTGGCACAAAAGTGGACAAGTAGACAAATGACACAGAGCAGAGAGCCCAGAAACAAATCCAAACCTAAACAGAAAGCTTATTGGGTCAGAGGTGATGCTGCACGTATCAGTGTGTAAAGGAATGTCCATTCAATAAATGTTGGCACAGTCGTTATCTGTTGAGAAGAAAATTAAATAGAACCACTACCTCATTTTATAACAAAAGTACAATCAAAGTATTAAGCCTATAGGAGAATTTATAGAAACCTATTTCTTCCATTGTGGGGAACAAGGTGACTCCTTAAAGAAGAATTGAATTGTGTCTTTTGTTCACCAATAACTAAAATGTCTGTGGGATTGTTTTTCAGATACCTTTTTCGAGCCTATATCGTGGCACCTGGCTACCAAAGTACTGGGAATACTCTGCTGTGGCCTATTTTTTGGCATTGTTGGACTGAAGATTTTCTTCTCCAAATTCCAGTGTAAGCGAGAGAGAGAAGCATGGGCCGGTGCCTTATTCATGGTTCCAGCAGGGACAGGATCAGAGATGCTCCCACATCCAGCTGCTTCTCTTCTTCTAGTCCTAGCCTCCAGGGGCCCAGGCCCAAAAAAGTAATCATCCTTCTCTAGGGTATTCTAACATCTCTTCCTCTGGAAATATCAACTACGACAGCCCCTTGCTACTTCATTTAGGTCAAATAATAAGGGGATGAATGATTTTCAGTACCTATAGAGAGAGCTTGGATAATTTTCCATGAACACCACCAAGACTCCTATTAAAAAGTTTTAATGTGGTGAACAAATTCATAAAGGAGGAAGCAAAAGTGACTGACAATAAGATAAAATTATATTCAGTCTCAATAAGACTTTTCACCCCCAAAACCAATTTCCTCCTCCTTGGGAGTGACACTTCCCCTTGGGGGTGAGGCCACCCCCGCCTCCCCTCCCAGCTGCCTTCTCCCATCTCCATCCCCACCTCCACAGCATCCCAGCTGTTGTCCCTCTCCTTAGCATGCACCTTCCTGATCTCTTGCTCCACCCCAGAGAGCCACACTCCGTGCAGGAGCTGGGGAGACGAGCACATATAAGTGTCCTAGGAGAGGCCCTGCCCTTCACACCTGCAGCTCGTCCCACCTGTGCAAGGAGCCAGCGTCGTGTTTGTGCCTTGTACACTCCTGTGTCCACCACTGAATATACTGTTTCTGTTTCAGGGAAAATCCAGGCGGAACTGGGTAAGTATGTGTCATGTCCTGAGCCTCCCACACATGGTTCTCCCGGGTCCCTCCCTGATCCACAGTTTGAGCCTCTGGACGACCCTGGCTGCAGGCTGGACAGGAAGCACCGGCAGGTGGAGGAGAGCAGCTGCTCGCTCTCTCCATCCACTGCTCATGAGTTACCCCTCGGACATCTGGAGGGCTTAGGATAGGCCCCGGGGCCTGGAAGTCCCCACAAATTGTCTGTGCCTGTTGCCCGTTGGTTTGCTGTGTGTGTGGTGGGGGAAGGTGTTGATCATGAGCTCTGAGGGTGTCTGGGCCACAGTGAGGAACCTGAGAAAAATTTGTGGGTGATCCTCGACCTCCCCTGGCCTGATGCTTTGAGACTTTATCCAGTTCTGTATCAACCACTAAATAGTCTGCTTTTTGTTTTGTGGGAACTCCAGGATAAACTGGGTGAGAGTGTTACCACTCGCAGGGATTCCCTCCCACGCCCTCCCTGGGCCCCCGCTCTGTGACGTCAGCCTCTTACATGTTTTTTGTTTTTGTTTTTGTTTTTCAGACTGGAGAAGAAAGCACGGACAGGCAGGTAAAAGAAAATATTCCTCTTCACACATTTATGACTCCTTTCCAAGTCTCTCGTTTATGGATTTTTATATCCTGAGGCCCGTGGGTCCCTGCAGAGCCAAGCTTGTGATGGGAACTCTGAAATTGCAGATTCTGGGGGAGGTGCATTTTGTAGAGAAGCCCCATAGCCTTCTTCGGATCTCTGGAGGGTCCACAACACTCAAAAAGGGTCCCAATCCTTGGTCTTTCCCTTCTCCCTGCGCCCTGTTTCCCACGTGAGCACTGAACTGCCTGCTCTGTCTGCTTGCTTTCAGAATTGAGAGACGCCCGGAAACACGCAGGTACCAACGCCTGAGAGGGTGACAGTGGGACAGAATCTCAGGTGGACATGAGAGGGGGAACTGAACAGGGACAGATACGGGAACACAGAGTGATGCTGAGACCCATCCTGCCTGCAGATGGAGAAACTGGATGCTTGATCGCCCCCAAGGGTTCAGTGCCCCCAGACACACTTCTTTCCCTTGGTCTAGAAGGGGAGAAGACAGGGGCTGGGTAAACGGGAGACGGGGGGGTCTTTGGCACAGTTTCAGGGAATTGAGGGCACTAGTGACTGGTCAGGGGTCTGAGCTGAGGGGAAGGAAGTAAAGTCAGGCAGAAAATTCTGAGTGGGAGGAAGTTAGATAGTGGGGTCCCTCCAGCTCTTATGAATCAAATAGTTTTATGTATGAAGGGACAGTGGCAGGGTTGGGTGATATGCCGAGATTGGGACGTCATATTGAGACATATCTAGACATTGATGAGTCCTCCAGGCTGCACTGGTGATGAGAGGACCTGAAAGGCAGTGTCTGCGGGAGGCTCAGGTCCGGGGCCTCACCTATGCCACCCAGAGCCAGTCTGCAGTGGGAGGGTCGACCTCTTGCTCCAGCCCAGATTTCGTCTTCAGTAACTCATGCTTCCTCTCTCCCCCACCGCACCCCAGTGGAGGTGACTCTGGATCCAGAGACGGCTCACCCGAAGCTCTGCGTTTCTGATCTGAAAACTGTAACCCATAGAAAAGCTCCCCAGGAGGTGCCTCACTCTGAGAAGAGATTTACAAGGAAGAGTGTGGTGGCTTCTCAGAGTTTCCAAGCAGGGAAACATTACTGGGAGGTGGACGGAGGACACAATAAAAGGTGGCGCGTGGGAGTGTGCCGGGATGATGTGGACAGGAGGAAGGAGTACGTGACTTTGTCTCCCGATCATGGGTACTGGGTCCTCAGACTGAATGGAGAACATTTGTATTTCACATTAAATCCCCGTTTTATCAGCGTCTTCCCCAGGACCCCACCTACAAAAATAGGGGTCTTCCTGGACTATGAGTGTGGGACCATCTCCTTCTTCAACATAAATGACCAGTCCCTTATTTATACCCTGACATGTCGGTTTGAAGGCTTATTGAGGCCCTACATTGAGTATCCGTCCTATAATGAGCAAAATGGAACTCCCATAGTCATCTGCCCAGTCACCCAGGAATCAGAGAAAGAGGCCTCTTGGCAAAGGGCCTCTGCAATCCCAGAGACAAGCAACAGTGAGTCCTCCTCACAGGCAACCACGCCCTTCCTCCCCAGGGGTGAAATGTAGGATGAATCACATCCCACATTCTTCTTTAGGGATATTAAGGTCTCTCTCCCAGATCCAAAGTCCCGCAGCAGCCGGCCAAGGTGGCTTCCAGATGAAGGGGGACTGGCCTGTCCACATGGGAGTCAGGTGTCATGGCTGCCCTGAGCTGGGAGGGAAGAAGGCTGACATTACATTTAGTTTGCTCTCACTCCATCTGGCTAAGTGATCTTGAAATACCACCTCTCAGGTGAAGAACCGTCAGGAATTCCCATCTCACAGGCTGTGGTGTAGATTAAGTAGACAAGGAATGTGAATAATGCTTAGATCTTATTGATGACAGAGTGTATCCTAATGGTTTGTTCATTATATTACACTTTCAGTAAGGTCTTTGCTTGTTTATTTCACATGAATTTATTGTTCCCTACTTCAAATCACCCATGAAACAGGCACCTGCTCTGTGCCAGAGCCAGAGGGAAGGTGGCACTTCCATTGCATTCTATAGAGCCCGCATTACTTTCATACCAAAACCAGACAAGGACATTACAAGAAAAGAAAGGAAAACTACACGTCCATATCCCCCATGAACTTAGACACAAATATTCTAATTAAAATTTTAGCAAACTGAATCCAGCAATACATTCAAAGAATAATACATCACTACTAAATATGTTTTTTCTCATATGTGGCTTAATATTCAAATATCAACCAGTTTAATTAACCACATTAACAAACTGAAAAAGAAAACTATACGATCATTTCAATAGATGCAGGAAAAAATTACATCTGTGAGCAAAGAAGCTACACAGATGACAGGCACATGAAAAGATACTCAACATCATAGTAATTGAGACAATTCAAATTAAAACAATGAGATACCATTCCTACCTATTGGAGTGGTAATAAAATTACACAGAATGATCATACCCAGTGTTGGCCACAATGTGCAGAAACTGAAACTCACACCCTGCTGATAGGAATGTAAAAGAGTGTAAAAATGTAAAAACTATTTTGGAAAACTGTATGGCAGTTTCTTTAAAAGTAAACAGTCACCTAACGTATGGTCCAGCCATCCCACTCTTAAGTATTCACCAAGAGAAAAGGAACTGCATGTCTTGACAAAGCCTTGTACCTCAATATTCATAGAAGCCTCATTCAGAATAGGTGAAAGGTGGAGACAGCCCAGATACTCACAACAGATGAGCAGATAAACAAACCGTGGTGCATCCACGCATCAGGCGCTCCATGACAGTCAAAAATCAACTCTTCGGGCAGGCAGTGAAGGGTCGTCACACAGCAGCTGTGGGTGCAGAAGGTGGTGGATTCCATGGTGGAGAGTCTGGACAGAGAGAACATCCAGAAGATCCAGGTGAGCAGCCCGAGGCCCAGCCAAGGCGTGGCCAGGGTGAAAGACAAGAAAGGCGAAGGCTCCTGGCCTTCGAACCTCATCCTTTGAGTGCTATGCCCACATTTAAATATACATGCTTTATTTTAAAGAGCAGTTCTAGGTTCATAGAAAAGTCACGTGGAAAGTACAAAGAGTTCCCATATACCCTCTGCCCACACAGGTGCATAGCTCTCCCTACTGTCCACATCCCACCAAGATGGAACATTGTAACTATCAATAAACCTATGTTAACACCTCATTATCACCCAAAGTCTGCAGCTGACATTAGCGTTCACTCTTGGTGTTGTACATTCCATGGGTTTTGGCAAATGGATAATGACATGGATCTATCATCACTGCATCACACAGATGCTTTCTTTGCCCTAAAAATCCTCTGTGCTCTGCTATTATTCATGCTTCCCTCACCACTAACCTCTGGCAACCACTGGTCTTTTTACTATTTCCAGAGATTTGCCTTTTCTGGAATGTCATATAATTGGAGTCATACAATATGTGGTCTTTTTAGATTGTTTTCTTTCACTTTATAATATAAACAGTCACATTTTTAAAATCACAGTGATATGCCTGATACACTACTATTGCTTTATTGATTTTATGTAATGTCCAAGTCTGTAGGTACTCAGGTACCTGAGTACGGACAGTGTCAAGAGGAGGAGAGGGATGTGCTTCTTAATGCAGCATTTGCTGAGTGAGAAGAGGTGACCACCCCAGGAGCTGCCAATGTTCAATCCCTTCTGGCCTTAGCCCAGGGAGCTTGAGGGTGATTGAAGTGGAAATCCACAGGGTCTTCCACAGTCCCTTCTCCCCAGTGCTGGTAGAGTGTGTCTTAAAGCAGCTGTAGATGGAATACTACTTGGTT
This sequence comes from Homo sapiens, assembly GCF_000001405.40. Taxonomy (NCBI): domain Eukaryota; kingdom Metazoa; phylum Chordata; class Mammalia; order Primates; family Hominidae; genus Homo; species Homo sapiens. The sequence continues at coordinate 180,952,788 of NC_000005.10, forward strand.
AAAAAGAAGGAACAAACTATTGATACATGCAACATTTTGGATGTATCTTGTAGGCGGCATATTCAGTGAAAAAAGTCCATCTCACCAAGTTCATAGGATATGACTCCATTTATATGACATTCTCAAAATCACAAAATTATAGAGAGGAAGAAAAATAAGTGGTTTCCAGGAATTAGGAAAGGGGGAGAGGGTGTGTGTTTTAGTCTGTTTTCACACTGCTATAAAGAACTACCTGAGACTGGGTAACTTATAAAGAAAAGAGGTTTAATTGACTCAGTTCTGCACGGCTGGGGAGGCCCAGGAAACTTACAATCATGGCAAAAGGCAAAGGGGAAGCAAAGCACGTCCTACATGGTGGCAGGAGAGAAAGAGAACAACGTGGGAACTGTCACACGCTTTTAAACCGTCAGATGTCGTGGAACTCACTCCCTATCATGAGAACAGCATGGGGGAACCACACCCATGACCCAATCACCTTACACCAGGTCCCTCTTTTGACACATGGGGATTATAATTTGACATGAGATTTGGGTGGGGACAAGAGTCACACCATATCAGAGTGATTTATAGATGCACATTGAGGGAGGTCTTCAATAGTGATGGAATAGTATGTTTTTTCCTTGAGACAGGGTCTCGGTCTATCTCCCAGGCTGCAGTGCAGTGGTTTAAGCATAGCTCACTGCAGCCTCGAATTTCCAGGCTTGAACGATCTTCTCACCTCATCCTCCTGAGTAGCTGGGACCACAGGCATGTGCCACCATGCCCTGCTACTTTTTTGACTTTTATTTTTAGTAGAGATGAGGTTTCCCTGTGTTGCCCAGGCTGGTCTCAAACTCTTGGGCTCAAGGGATCCTCCTGCCTCAGCCTCCCAAAGTGCTAGGATTACAGGTTTGAGCCACTGTGCTTGTTCTGGAACAGTATCTTGTTTATGATGGTGGTTACTTGAATTTATATATCTAATAAAATTGCACAGAACCACATGCATGTGCACACACACACACACACACACACACACACACAAATGAATGCATGTAAAAACTGCTAACATGTGAATCAGGCCTGGAGTCTAGTTAACATATTTATATCAATATCAATCTCCTGGTTTCAATATTGTGCCATAGCAAAGCTACATAAGATGTTGCCATTGCCTTAATTTTAAAAAATTGTTACCATTGGAGAAAGCTTGGTGAAGGGTACTCAAGACTCAACAATTTTTGCAATTTCCTGGGAGTTTATATGACTGTTTCAAAATAAAACAAAAATTTGTAAAGCAGCTTTAAAAAAACAACATTTATTTTAAAATGAAGTTGGGTTGTCGAAATAAATAAATGTGTGTGAAACAGAGTTTCAGAGATTCAACTGGTATCAGCTCACATCAAATGACAATGAAACAGAAGACTTAAAAAAATTTCTGTAGCTTTGAGTATCAGAACAACTATCTTCAACAAATCAAAATTGAATGATGCCATTAGCTGTGCCATCCAAAGTAAATAAGGACTAAAATCATGAATAAGAAAACTTGGAATAATAGGTGATAAAGCTAACATTAATGTAACATGGTAGTCCGACTAGAAACAATAAGTGCCAATATAACGAATTCCCCTGCAAAACATCCCCACCACCAAGTTAGTTTTCATTATAAAGATGATTAAAACAAACTAAAGCAGCCACAGACAGGAACACCGGGCCTGCCTCCTGGTGCAGCCGTCTGAGCTTCCCACCTTAGGACAGCAGTGGGAAGCAGGATGGTGGGGCCCAAGTCAGGAGCTAAGTCCCCCTACTGTGCCTGGGGAAGGATGCAAGGCTCCTGAGGCACCTCAGGAGAGGAAGCAGAGAGGGTTGTAGTCGATGAGCTGAGTCTGGAGGCCAGAGGGAGCCGAGGGTCTAGGAGCACGTGGTGAGTGGCAGAGATGCTGGTAGGCTCCCTGTGTGTTTTTCAGGGAGTAATAAATACAAGCCCAGAAACTACCAGGAGCCAGGCATTAGAGATATGAGGATGGACTGCTGTGAACTGTCTAGGAACAAAATAGCTGAAAGGGCACTGTGGAAGAAGGTGTCAGAAAATTAACTTCTGAAAGGAAAGGAGAGAGGGCTAGGAAGGCCTTGGGCAGCCAAGTTCATACAGAGACGTGTGTGTGTGCATGTGTGTGTGTGTGTGTGCGCGTGATGTAAGGAGAAAGGAGGAAAGAAGTGGGGGTAAAAGTGAAATTTTCTGAGCTATTCTGTGGTTTTTTTCTCTGACATGACCAAAATAGGAAGAAAAAGAAAATAAAACTAAAGAAAAAAACAAAAAAAAATTCACACACAAAAAAGGAGCAGCAATGTCACTCACACATGAAACCTGACTTCACATCCCAGATCTGCTTGGGATGCAGAAGTCCATTTGACTGTTAAAAATGTATTTTTATCAAAGTGATGCAAACTAATATTTAAAGGAGTTTTTAGGTCCGGTGCGGTGGCTCACATCTATAATCCTAGAACTTTGGGAGGCCAGGTGGGTGGACTGCTTGAGCCCAGGGGTTCGAGACCAGCCTGGGCAACATTGCAAAACCCTGTCTCTACAAAAAATACAAAAAATTAGCCAGGTGGGTGGTGCATGCCTGTGGACCCAGCTACTCGTGAGGCTGACAGGAGGATTGTTTGAGCCTGGGAGGTTGAGGCTGCAGTGAGCTGAGATCACGTCACTGCACTCCAGCCTGGGTGACAAAGAGAGACCCTGTCTCAAAACAAACTAACAAACAGAATCCCCCCCCACCACAAAAAACCAAACCAAAACCATGATTTTTAAAAGCATTGTAATAAAAAGCAATAGTACCCCAATGCCTTACTACTGTGTCCCTTTCCAACCCACCCCAGTGTTGTACCCACAGGGAAAACTTTATGGCTTCTCTTTTTGGTTGTTTTTCCTTATAGCTAAGTTACTTGTTTCTTCTTCTGGCATTTTATTTTATTTATTTATTTATTTAATTTTTTTTTTCGAGTCAGAGTCTCGCTCTGTCCCCCAAGCTGGAGTGCAGTGGTGCGATCTCGGCTCACTGCAACCTCCACCTCCCGGGTTCAAGTGATTCTCCTGTCTCAGCCTCCTGAGGAGCTGGGACTACAGGCACCCGCCACCACACCCAGCTAGGCTAATTTTTGTATTTTTCGTAGAGACAGGTTTTCACCATGTTGGCCAGGCTGGTCTCAAACTCCTGACCTCAGGTGATCTGCCCACCTCAGCCTCCCTAAAAGGGCTGGGATTACAGGCATGACCCACTGCGCTCAGCTATTTTGTTTTATTTTTAATTGACAAAAATTGTATATATCTGTCGTGTGTAAGATGTTGTATTGAAATATGTATGCAGTGTGGAATGGCTATAGACAGCTAATCAACATATGCATTACATCACATACTTATCTTTTTTGTGATGAGAACACATGAAATCTATTGTTTCAGTAATTTTCAAGAATACAATACATTGTTACTAACTATAGTCACCAGGTTGTATAATAGATCTCTTAAACGAATTCCTCCTAACTCAAACTTTTTACCTTTTGACCAACATTTCCCCAAACTTCCCACATACTCAGCCCCTGGAGACCACCATGCTATTTTTTACTTCTGTTAGTTCAACTTTTCTAGACTCTACATATACATAAGATCATGCAGTATTTCTTTTTCTGGGCCTGGCTTATTTATCTTAATATAATGTCCTCCAGGTTTATCTACGTTGTCACAAATAACAGGATTTTCTTCTTTTTTAAAGGTTCATACTACTTCATTGTGTATCTATATACATACATAGTGTCTACCCACACATAAATACACAAACACAATGTTGAATATTTTCTTCGGAGAAATGTTTATGTATATATACAATATTTTCTTTTTCTTTCCTTTTTTTTTTTTTTTTGAGACAGACTTTCACTCTTGTCGGCCAGGCTGGAGTACAATGGCGCGATCTCGGCTCACCGCAACCTCCGCCTCCTGAGTTCAAGCGATTCTCCTGCCTCAGCCTCCCAAGTAGCTGGGATAACAGGCATGGGCCACCACGCCTGGCTGATGCCTGTAATCCCAGCACTTTGGGAGGCCAAGGCAGGTGGATCATCTGAGGCCAGGAGTTCGAGACCAGCCTGGCCAACATGGTGAAACCCCATCTCTACTAAAAATACAATATTTTCTTTATCTCTTTATCTGTTTACGGGCGCCTGGGTTGATTCCATTTCTTGGCTGTTGTGGATAATGCTGCATGGCAGTGCAGATATCTCTTCAATATACCAATTTAAATTCCTTTGCATATACACCCAGGAGTAGGATTACTGAATCATAAGGTGGTCATATTTTTAATTTTGGGGGGAATCTCCATGCTGTTTTCGATAATGACTGTACTAATTTACATTCCCACCAACAGGGTGCAAGAACTCTCTTTTCTTTACATCCTTCACACCTATCTTTCATCACTTTGATAATCGCTATTCAAACAGGTGTGAGTCAACATCCCACTGTGATTTTAGTTTGCATTTCTCCCATGACTGGTGATGCTGAGCATTTTTTCATATATGTTTCAAACATTTAAATGGTTTCTTTAGAGAAATGTCTATTCCAGTTCTTTGCCCATTTTTTAATCGTCTTTTTTTTTTTTTTTTGCTGTTTAGTCAAATTCTTATATATTCTGGTCAGAAATTCCCTATTGGATGTCTAGTTTGCGAATATTTTCTCCCATTGTGTGGGCTGTCTTTTCACTCTGTTGTTTCCTTTGTTATGCAGAAACTTTTTGAATTGATATAATCTCATTTATCTATTTTTGCTTTTGTTGCCTGTGCTTTTGAGGTTTTACACAAACAAACCATTGCCCAGATCAATGTCCTGAAGCATTTCCCCAGTATTTTCTTCTAGTAATTTTATAGTTCCAGGTCTTATATTTAAGTTTTTGATCCATTTTAATTTGATTTTTTATATGGTGAGAGATGGGGCATCCAGTTCATTCTTCTGCATATGGATATCTATTTTTCCCAGCACTATTTATTGAAGAGACTGTCCTTTCCCCAACATATGTTCTTGCTGCCTTTGTTGAAAGTGAGTTGACTGTAAATGTATGGATTTGTTTTGGGATTCTCTATTTTGTTCTGTTGGTCTGTGTGCCTATTTTTATGTCACTACCACGCTGTTTGGTTACCAAAGCTTTGCAGTAAATTTGGAAGTCAGGTAGTGTGATATCTCCAGCTTTGTTCTTTTTGCTTAGGATTGCTTTGGCTATGTGAGGTCTTTTGTAGTTCCATACAAATTTTAGGACTCTTTTTCTATTTCTGTGAAGAATGTCACTGGCATTTTGATATGGATTATATTGAGTCTATAGATTATTTTTGGTAGTATGAATATTTTAACAATAATAATTCTTCCAATCCATAAACATTAGAAATCTTTCCATTTGTTTGTGTCCTCAAACTTCTTTTATCAGTTTTTTATAGTTTTCATTTTAGAACTTTTTCACTTCTTTGGCTAAATTTATTCCTTGCTATTTAAATTTTTGGTAGCTATTGCAAATGAGATTGCTTTCTTGATTTCTCTTCCAGATTGTTCACTATCGGCATCTATAAATGCTACTGATGTTTGTATGTTGATTTTGTATCTTAAAACTTTACTCAATTCATTTATCAGTGCCAAGAGTTTTTTTGCTGGAGTGTTTCAGTTTTTCTAATTATAAGATTATGTCATTTGCAAACAAGAACGATTTAACTTCTTCCTTTCCAATTTGAATGGACTTTATTTCTTTCCCTCGCCTAATTGCTCTTGCTAGGGCTTCCAGTACTATGCTGAATAAAAGTATTGAAAGTGGACACCTCTGTCTTCTTCTAGCTCTTAGAAGAAAGGCTTTCAGGTTTTTCTCCTAATAAGTATGATGTTAGCTGTGGATTTGTCATACATGGTCTTTATTGTGTTGAGGTATTTTCTTTGTATATCCAGTTTCATCATGAAGGCACGTTGAATCATGTAAAATGCTACTTCTGAGTCTATTGAGATGATCATATGGTTTTTGTCCTTCATTCTGTTCATGTGGTGTATCCCATTTATTGATTTGTGTGTATTAATCCATCCTTGCATCCCTGGGATAAATTCCACTTGATCATGGTGTGTTATCTTTTTGCTGTGTTGTTGGAATTGGTTTGCTAGTATTTTTGCATCTGTGTTCATTCAAGATATTGGCTTGTAGTTTTCTTTTTTTGTTGTGTCTTTGTCTAGCTTTGGTATGAGGGCAATGCTGGCCACATAGAATGACTTAGGGAGAGATCCTGCCTCTACAACTTTTGCAAATAGTTTGAGTAGAAATGGTATTAATTCTTCTTTTAAAGTTTGGTAGAATTTGTCAGTAAAGCCATCAGTGATGTAACCTGTCCCCAAGTCTCCCAGCAATGGGTACCAGCACCAGCTCTGATGAGGGTGGCAGGGGAGTAACGTAGACTCTGAGATTCCTTTGTTATAAATAGGCTTAGTATATTGGCTTTCTCAAATGTTGGTTACGGTAGTAATGAACTGTTCACCTGGACAGACTAGGACCCACTGGTTAGTCAGGACACTGTGGGAAATGGTGATAGCTGAGGTCACACACAAGTGTTCTTCTTCCTGGGTGCTCTGTTACTCCTCCTGGAGCTGCTGTAATGGACTGACTGTGTCAGTTGGCCTCTAGCTTGGAGGTGTTGCTTGGAAAAGAGCACCAGCTGCGGTAGTAGCAGTGGGATTTATACTTGCCTTATGTTACCCAGGGGGTACTGTGGTGTCTCAGGCAATGGGAGGGGCCATAAAATTCCCAAAAGTTTCCGTCCTTTGTGTTAAGCTACCAGGGTAGGTGGAGGGGCAAAACCAGGTGGAGGCTGGGTCAGGCGGGTCCACGTGCTGGCTCTCCACATGCAAGGCAAACAATGGCTCTTGTGGGGGTTGAGGGTGGTTCTCTTGCCACTAGGACAATGTTCCAGGGAGGGGTGCAGCTGCCTCTATTGCACAGAAGAGTTTACACAGGGAGTGGGGAGTAGCAGGTGGCATAAGCCCCACACAGTCCCACGTACTTGGCAAGGCAAACCTCACGCCCAGAGTGTTCCACTAGCAGCGGCTAGCTAAGTTCCAGGCAGTTTGTGCTCAGAACTCAAAACTGCTCCAGGCCATAAGCCTTTCTGGCAGAGACAGCAACTGCGGCATTTAGGCCATGCCCTTCCCAGTCTGCCAGCAAAGCCAGGGTGCCCAGCTTCTGCACTCATGGATGCAGCACGCTTTTCACTCACCTCCCACTTCTGGCAAAGAAAGTTCATCCCCACTCGAGAGAATATCATGAATTTTAGTTAGAAGCTTTTCTTAACCTGTGACTGCTGCCTGAATAAGCTGGCCGACTTCTGTGAGGTCCCCTGGGAGGCAGGATCAGGAATGGCTTCCTTCGTCCACACTGGAGGCTGGGAATGCATGCAAGGCTCTTGTGCTGGTGCTCCTAATTTTTTGTTCCCCACTACTCCCTAAACCAGTTTCAGGGCTGGATAGAATTAAGGCCTTCCCCTCCGGCCTGTATTGTCAGGTTCCCACGTCGCAGTGTATATCTTGGGGGCAGTTTATCCCCCCTCACACTTTGAGGACTTACAGTTTTCTGCCTGACTCATTGTGTAGGCTGCAGCCTGCCACTTCTTTCAAAGAGTTTGTGGTTTCTTTCAGTTTTCCTGTTAAGTTCTTGCCTGCTTACTAGAAAAAAATTCACACTGTGTATGTCTAGACACTATTTTGTCTTTCCAAGTAGGAGAGGCATGCTAACAATGCCTCTAATCCACCATCTTGGGAAAAAACCTTTTAATTGTGGGATTTAATATGTTTACTTTCAAGGCTGTTATTGATAACTACTTCTTATTATTTTGTTAATTGCCTTTTAATTGTTTTGTATATCCTTGTTCCTTTCTTATTCTCTTATTGCTTATCTTTGCAATTTGATGGCTTTCTATAGTGATGACATTTGATTCCTCTCTTTTTCTCATTTGTGTATCTGCTTCTTCCAGTGAGTTTCATACTTTTGTGTGTTTTCGTGATGGGAGATATCATCCTTTCACTTCTAGATGCAGGAAGTGCATTTAAGCATTTCTCAAAGGCCTGTCTAGTGATAATGAATTTGCTCAGATTTTGTTTTTCTGGGAAAGACTTTATTCCTCTTTCATTTCTGAAGGATAACTTTGCTAGGTATCGTATTTTTGCCTGACAGTTTTTTCTTTTTCTTTCAGGGCTTTGAATATATTATCCCATTCTCTCTTGGCCTAGAGGTTTTTGCTGAGAAATATGCTGTTAATCTGATGGAGATTCATGTGACTTGATGCTTTCCTCTTGACATTTTTACAATTCTTTCTTTGTCTTTGACTTTTGACAATTTGAGTATAATGTGCCTCCGAGAAGACATTTTGGGTTGTGTCTATTTGGGATTCTTTGATCTTCCCGCATATGAATGTCTTCATCTCTTCGAAGACATGAGAACTTTTCAGCTATTATCTTTAAATCGGTTTTCTATGCCTTTTGCCATGTTTGTACCTTCTGGAACTCCCAACATTTGAGGTTTTGTTCACTTGATTGTGTCCCATATGTCATATAGGATTTCTTCACTCTTTGATTTTTTTTCTGAGTTATTTCATTTTTTTTCTTGAAAGATTAACTGTTTAACTATAAAGAAATAACTAAAAATTAAAAATAGCTTATAAACTTTATTTATATAATTACTGAAGGGAACAGAGTAACTGTTTGTGGTGGTGGACCCAGGAAGGCGGCTCTCAAGTTCTGGGGAGTGCGTATTTCCATTCTCTATGTTCTCAGCACAGACTGTCTGATGTGCAGGAATGCCTGCTTCCAGGTTTAGAGTGCTCCATGGGTTCAGATTTACTGCACATCTCGGTCCAGCTAATGCTCTGATGCTGCAGACTTCTGGGTGGATATGAGAGGATGCTAGTGGGACCCCAGGGATGTGGAGATGCAGGGGCTATTAAGCCATGGTGCAGAATGTTGTCTTGTATTGGGTCTGTTCTCAAAATGATGTCATGCTGCAGTTGATTGGGTCCTGGGGATGTAATATTGCATGAACTCCTTCCGTGGAACAGTGCAGTCACATGGACCCCAGGCAAATCCCTATACTACTCAGGGCCTTTGAGGGCTGAGGGGCTTTCCTGTAGCATGTACTACAGGACTCTGGCATGTGGACTGCTGAGGATCTCTTACTTGCCTTTTCCTCCGATGGGAGTCCCTCCTGGCTCTGCGCTAATCTGACTGGATGCCTCACTTCCCCCTCTGTGCTGCCATCTCAAGCTTTCATGCCTCAGAGTGTTTCAGTTGCTTCCCTTCTGGATTCCAGCATTTCTTCCCTACACGCTATATTCAATGTGTGATTACCTACATGCTGTTTTGGTTCTTCCTTGTGGAGGAGGTGAGTGCTGGGTGCCTGTAGGCAGCCATCTTGGTCTTTCCTCAGCTTTTACTTGTTTCAATTTCTCCTTCATTTCCAAAAGACAATTTTCCTTGTACATTATTCTTGGTAGGTAGTTTTTGTTGTTGTTTGTTTGCTTGCTTCAGCACTTTGACTGTATCATCCCACATTCTCTGTTGAGAAATCTGCTAATGGGTCCAAGCCTCATTCAAACCACCATATGTGTTATTTAGTTATTTTATCTTAGTTTCAGGATTCCCTCTTTGTTCTTCACTTATTACAGTTGGGTTATAATAAGTCTTGCTATATTTCTGGTCTGGATTGAAACTTATTGCAGACCTTTGATATTCTTGTATCTGGATATCTATAGCTTTTATTGTATTTGGAAAGTTTTCTGCTGTTATTTCTTTACTCCTTCTATCCCTTTATCTTTCTCTGCTCCTCACAAACTCCTATAATTCAAACATTTGCTCTTCTGATACCATTCCATAGGTCTTATAAACTTTCTCCATTCCTTTTGTACTATTTTCCTCCTCTGACTGTATATTTTCAAATAAACTGTCTTAGAGTTCACATATTCTTTCTTCTGTTTGATCAATTCTGCTATTGATACTCTTTAAATTTCATTAATTGTATTTTTCAACTCCAGAATATCTGTTTGATTTTATAAATAATTTAAATATCTGTTAAATTTCTTATTTTGGTCATTTATTATTTTTATGATTTCATTGAATCGTTTCTACTTTCTTGAAGTTCACTGAGCTTCCTTAAAACTATTATTTTAAATATTTTGTCAGGCAGTTTGTATATCCTCATTTTTTTGGAGTTTGGCACTGGGAGTTTATTGTGTTCCTTTAGTGGTATTATATCTCTTTAGTTTTTCCTGTTTCTTTTTGCTTTATGTTGATGTCTGCACATTTGACAAAGTAAAGATTATTCCAGTCTTTGCAGACTGGATTTGTCTGGGAAACATTTTCACCAGTCATCTCATCTAGAGATTTTAGCAAGGGTCTCTGTGATGGTCTGAGGTCAGCGTTGCTACAAGAGTCCTTTGGCAGGCCAGCCTGGTGCCTGAGTCAGCAGGTGGGAAGAACTGACTTCTAGGTCTGTGGGTTTGGCCTGAAACCTTGATCCCCTTAGGTAGACCTATTGATTGAGTCTGTGGGGATGGTCCTAGAGGCTGTGTCTATGAGGGTGAGCCTGTATCTGCTGGAGCTGCCTAAGGTCTAGATCCACAGGGATGACCCGGTGCTGGTGTGGGCCTTGAGCCTGAGTCTGCAGGGGCTGGATAGGCACAACGATGGCTCTGGCATCTGGATCCACTGGAATGGGCCTGGAACCTGAGCCCAAAAGGACTGGCCTTGTTCTGGGGCTGACCTGGCAACTGAGACCAGTAAAATGTCCTTGAAGTTGGAATCCATGGTGGCTGGCCCAAAGCCTTTGTCTTCAGGAGTGGACTTAGAACTTCAATTCATAGAATCCTTCCTGGCACTGGAGTCTAATGTCCCTGCACCTTGAGTCTGCTGGAGCAGACTCTGGGTCATGGAGCAGCTGAGACTGGTCTAGAGCCTGAGAACATCCTAGTACTGAGGATGGCATGGAGCCTGAATCTGCAGGAACTGGCCTGGGGCCTAGGATTGTCAGTGCTGGCCTTGTCACTGAAGCCACAGTAGCTGTCCTGGAGCCTGTGTCCACTGGTGTTGGTCTTCAGGCTAAATGTATCCGTGCTAAGCTAGTGGCTAGGTTTGAGATGGCTGGCTTGGGTCCTGAGGCTTCAGGGGCTAACCTGGGACTGGATACACAGGGTCAGGCCACTATTCCTGAAGAATAAATATGCAAAACTCCTCAACAAAATATTAGCAAACTGAATTTAACAAAACTAAAAAGATCATGCACTGTAATCAAGTGAGATTTATCCTAGGCATGCAAGAATGGTTCAACATATGTAAATCAATAAATGTGACACATCACATTAACAAAACGAAGGACAAACACCATATGATCATCTCAATGGATGCAGGAAATGCACTTTACAAAATTCAACACTTTCTTCCACCATAAAAACTTTCAACAAATTAGGTATGGAAGAAATGTACCTTATCACAATGAAGACCGTATATAACAAGCCCACATCTAACAACATACTCAGTGGTGAAAAGTTGAAAGCTTTTCCTCAATAATCAAGGACAAGACAAGAATACCCACTCTTTCCACTTCTTTTCAACATAGTACTAGATGTTCTAGCCAGAGAAATTAGGCAAGAATAAGAAATAAAGGGCATCTTAATTGGAAAGGAAGGAATGCAATTATCTGTTTGCTAACAACATGATAGTGTATATAGAAATACCTAAACGCTCCACCAAAACCTGTTATAACTGATAAACTAATTCAGCAAAGTTGTAGGAAACAAAATCATATTGTAAAAATCAGTAGTGTTCCTGTACACTAACAAACTATCCAAAAAGGAAATTAATATATAATCCCATTTATGATAGCTACAAAAAATAATACTTAGGAGTGAATTTATTTAAGATGAAAGATCTATATGCAGAAAACTACAAGACATTGATAAAGAAATTGGTAAAAACACAAACAGAAAGTTATTCCATGTTCATAATTCAGAAGATGTAATATTAAAATGTCCATACTATCCTTAAACAATGTACAAATTCAATAGAATCCCTGTCAAAATTTTAATAATACTTTTCACGTAATTAGAAAAAAAATCTTAAAATTTACATGGAACCACAAAACACCCCAAATAGCCAAAGCAATCTTGACCAAAACCAACAAAGCTAGAGACATCACATTACCTGACTTAAATATACACTACAAAGCTATAGTAATCAAAACATCATGTTTCTGGCATAAAAACAGACATGTCAACCAAAGAAGCAGGATATAGAGTCCAGTGAACATCCATGAATTTATAAACAATTGATTAATCAAGATGTATACAACACACAATGGGGAAAGAACAGTCTCCTCAATGAATGGTCTTGGAAAACCTGGATACCCACACGCAGAAGAAAGAATTTAAGAACTTACCTCACACCATGTATAAAAATAAACTCAAAATAAAGACTTAAATATAAGGCCTGAAACTGTAAAAGTGCTAGAAAAAAAGAAGGTAAAAGCTCCACGACATAGACCTGAGTAATTATTTTTTGAGTATCACCCCGAAGGCACAGGCAATGAAAGCAAAAATACAGATGGAATAGCATTAAACTAAAATGCTTCTCACAGTGAAGTAAACAGTTAACAAAGTGAAGAGACAACTGTAGAGTAAGAGTAATATTTTCAAAGCATATATCTGATGAGGATAATATCCAAAATTTATAAGGAACGTAAAAACTCAATAGTTAGAAAAATAACACAGTTGTAAAACGGGCAAAGAACCTGAGGAGACGTTTCTCAAAAAACATATAAATGACCAATAGTTTCATTTAAAAACATTCAACATCACTAATCATCAGGGAAATAAAAATTAAAAACACAAGAAGATATTACCTCATAGCTAATAGAATGGCTATCATCAAAAAGACAAAAACTAACAAGTGTTGACAAAACTATGAATCCTGTACATTAATGGTGGGAATGTAAATTAGTATAGCCATTATCTAAACCCGTATGGAAGTTCCTCAAAGACTAAAAATAGAAATACCATTATTATCTAGCAATCCCCCTACTGGGTAAATATCAAAAGATTGAAATCAATGTGCTAAAGAGGTATATGCTGTCCCATGTTCACTGCAGAATTATTAACAAGAACTAAGATATGGAGTCAACCTATGCATCCATCAGTGGATGAATGGAGGAAGAAAATGTGGTATATATACACAATGGAATACTGTTCAATTTTTTTCAAATACAAAGTTATATTCATTTTCAGTAAATAGCAAAACAAAGTAGAGTCAGGTTGGGCGTGGTGGCTCACGCCTGTAATCCCAGCACTTTGGGAGGCCGAGGGGGGTGGATTACCTGAGGTCAGGAGGTCAAGACCAGCCTGGCCAACACGGTGAAACCCTGTCTGTACTAAAAAGACAAAAATTACCTGGGCGTGGTGGTATGCACCTGTAATCCCAGGTACTTGGGAAGCTGAGGCAGGAGGATCACTTGAAACTGGGAGGCGGAGGTTGCAGTGAGTCGAGATCGTGCCACTGCACTCCAGCCTGGGCGACAAAAGCAAAACTCCGTCTCAAAACCGAAAAAAAACCAAAAAACCAAAAACCAAAAAAACGAAGTGGAGTCAATGCACTAATTTTTAAATCTAACACAATGCTTAGAACAAACTATGCTCAATAAATAAAAACATTATTATTAATGGAGTACGATTATTCTTGAGATTCTCTATGGTTGTGTGTGTGTTTTAAACAAAACTGAGTCGTAGGTAAAGAAAGACATCCTACAGACACGACTGAGAAGGGCTCAAAGAAAAGAACAGCCAAGGAGTAGTGTCCCCAAATACTAAGCAAAATGAATATGGGATTTTTCAAAGCAGTCTAGAAATCAGAGCTCACTAGGTTTGGAGATAATCCATGTTCAAGGCCTCATAATGAAATCTTTCCGTATTTCCAGATTCTTGATATGGAATCTGTCACAATTTTAAGGAGCTTCTGCCAAAGGAAAGGAGATCGCTTATGCTGCCTGAAATGGCCTACGCCTCCTAAATTTCCTTTGACTCTGTCACTAATATAGCAAGGGTTCATTCCAGCAAAGGATTACTACTGAGGACCAACTCCTCTCTGGTTTAGATTTTGCTTTCATAAACACATTGACCCTTGCCAAGGAGAGCTCTATGTATATCCAATTTCTTTTCTTTTTATCCCTGCTACACAACTCTGGCTACAAAATCTAGGACTCTCACAGCAATGGCAGCATTGGTCAGAAGGTAAGTGCCAGTTCGAACGCAAGAACTCTCTAAAGTTCAATGGTCACAATTTTTTTTTAACCACTTCTGCCACGACTTTTTTTTCTCTTTACCTTGCCAATTATTTCTTTTAAAACTCAATCCTCCAAGCTACATTCTGAGCACTAAGTTTTTTGACCAATGCATCTCTGGTATCCTCATCATCTTTTTGCAGATCTATGTCACCTTGTTGGGACCAAATGGGGTATCTATCAGCTCTCTGACCAGCCGCTAAGAAGGAGGAAGTAGCCTCCAACTCACCATTATTTTTTAAGAAGGCCTGTGTAACTGTTGGTAGATCCAAGTTAAATTTTTCCATTAACTGCCGAATGATCTTAATGGCAAGCTCCCACCCCTGGTGGAGAAAGTCCCCCTCCTCCTCTGTCTCTCTCCCTCCTCCTCTATCTCTCTCCCTCCTCCTCTGTCTCTCCCCCTCCTCTTCTGTCTCTCCCCCTCCTCCTCTTCCCCATTCTCACCCTCCTGCTGTCCTTCTGTCTTCCTCAGGCATGGGTGGATTATCATCACACATTGTTATATGTATTTCAAAATCAGGGCTCTTGATCCACTTGTAGGAATTGCCTTTCCAGGAGTCCTGGACGGTTCTCGCAGTTCAGTTTTCCATCTTTCTGCGAGATGCTAACAAAACCATGCCTCTGATCCAATGCCTCCATTTAGCTGTAACAATACGTTAATCAGAACTGCCTGGCATCCTCCTGAACAAGACTTTCAATAGGGCCCAGTATGTTTCGCTTCATCCTGAAGTTTTCTCAAGCATCTGCTAAGATGCTTAAGTACTCTTTTGCAGTGGGACTAGGAGCCAGCAGAGGAACAGATACACGTTCTCTCAAGACGTCTCTCCAGCAGAACTTTTCCCCTTTGTTTCCGAGGCCTTGGATTTTCCCAACATTTCCAGTGTATATGAACAAGACACAATGCTATCATACATCCCCCTGCAACTTTAAAAAGCAGGAGTAAGCAGTACTTCCAGCCAGGCCACCAAGCACCATCATGTACCTGCCTGACAGCCCAAAGCCAGCATTATAGGTAACTCTGGCAGGACTAATCCCCTTCATTGGTCCACCACTGGTCCTGCTAATGACAAAGACTTATATTCCCCTATTAGCCTTTACTCAGATGGAGCCAGTTTCCTATCCTTGTGGTGGTCAGATGGGGTTTTGCTGTATCAGAAGGCAGTCCAGCCAAACCCGACTTCCTTCATTTAGCTAATAGTACAGTTCCTGTTGTTTTCACGGTTTGCCTTATTTCTGAAAGACTCAGCGAAGCCATAGCAATCATAGGTAACGGGGATAGCATTACACATCTGTTTCTTTTGCCACATTATCCCAACTGGTTCAAAGCCCTGAGGAAAGTAGTCACTTTATTGGCCACTTTTTCATTTATAATCACTTTAGTGTTAAAAATATTTACCCACAGAATGGACCTAAGCGACCTGGTCAAGTAGAAAAGGCATAGAACTACACTGTAGATAACACTGGTACACTGGCTACACCTTTTTCTACTTCTCCTGTTTGCCTCTCCCCTCCCCCACACCAATGGTAATTTATTCTTCACACATTATTCTTCATTTCCAGAAACTGTTACTTCATAGTAATTACTTAAGCAGGAGCACGAAAATCCCTGACAAGTCATTTTCATCTTGTGTCCAGAATTGGTGGGTTCTTGGTCTCCCTGACTTCACGAATGAAGCCACAGACCCTCACGGTGTTACAGTTCTTAAAGATGGTGTGTCTGGAGTTTGTTCCTTCTGATATTCGGACGTGTTTGGAGTTTCTTCCTTCTGGTGGGTTCGTGGTCTCTCTGGCTTCAGGAGTGAAGCTGCAGACCTTAGAGATGAGTATCACAGCTCACAAAGGCACTGCAGACCCAAACAGTGGGCAGCAGCATAATTTACTGCAAAGAGCTAAAGAACAAAGCTTGCCCAGGGCAGAAGGTGACCCAAACTGGTTGCCGGTGCTGGCTCTGGCAGCCGCTTTTATTCCCTTATCTGACCCCACCCACATCCTGCTGATTGGTCCATTTTACAGAGAGCTGATTGGTCCATTTTGACAGGGTGCTGACTGGTGCATTTACAATCCCTGAGCTAGACACAAAGTGCTGATTGGTGCATTTACAATCCTCCAGCTAGACATAAAAGTTCTCCAAGTCCCCACCAGATTAGCTAGATAGAATGCTGATTGGTGCATCTGCAAATCCCTAGCTAGACACAGAGTGCTGACTGGTGCATATACACTTCTCCCTCTAGACATAAAAGTTCTCCAAGTCCTCACCCGACCCAGGAGCCCAGCTGGCTTACCCAGTGGATCCCCTGCAGGGGCCACAAGTGGAGCTGCCCGCCAGTTCTGCGCAGCACGCCTGCACTCCTCAGCCCTTGGGCACTTGATGGGACCGGACGCTGCAGTCGTGGAGGGTCGGGCCCGCAGGAGCCCACCGTGCAGGTTGGGGGGGCGGGACTCAGGCATGGCGGGCTGCCGGTCCCGAGCCCTGCCCCGCCAGAGGCGGCTGAGGCCTGGCAAGAAATCGAGCAGGGCGTGGGTGGGCTGGCAGTGCTGGGGGACCCCACGCACCCTCCACAGCTGCTGGCCTGGGTCCTGCGAGCGCCACCACAGTCCCGGTTCCCACCCATGCTTCTCCCTCCACAGCTCCCCACAAGCAGAGGGATCCGGCTCCAGCCTCGGCCAGCCCAGACAGGGGCTCCCACAGTGCAGCGGCGGGTTGAAGGGCTCCTCAAGGTGGCCAGAATGGAAGCCCAGGAAGCACTGAGAGCGAGCACGGGTCACCAGCACGTTGTCACCTCTCAGTCTCATACTAAATTTGTTTTCACTGAGTCATGTTATGAATTATATAGTCACCCGCTTAAACATTTCAATGCTTTAACTGTCTTGAAAAATATAAAATAAAAAAATTAAAAAAAAAAAATCAGGGCTCTCATCCAACTCCCTGGTGGCTTCCGCAGGCATGTTTTTTGATGGCTGCTTCATGCTTCTGGGTTTCTTCCTTCACATGTTCTTCAGGCAAAGCTGGAATTCTCTTATTCCATGGTTCCCGGCAATCCTCAGGCTCCGGGTCCTGCTCTGCCTTCTGCTTGAGCGTCTGGGAGCGCAGCGGGGGCTCCTGGGGCATTCCCTGCTCCTGGCCCCATAGGTTCTGAGGGGCCTTTCTTCCGCGAGCCGGCTTTCCTCCATCGCTTCCCACAGGCTTTGCCCGCGACCGAACAGGGCGAGCAGGCATTTTCCTTCACGTAGGCCTGAAAAGCCACGTCACCCGCATCCCTGAAGGCGGCCCCACCAGCGACTACGGCTTGGGCTCCACGGCGCGCTCTGCCAGGGACCCCCCCCCCCCACCGCCGGTGCCCGAGTGGGCCGCGTAGGCGGGGCCCAGCCCATAGGCCGCCAGCTCCAGCCGCTGCAGCGTTCTACGCGGTCCGGGACGCACTGCGCAGACAACAAAGCTGCTGGAGGCGTCCCCAGGCTGGGCCAGCGGTGTGGCCTGGGTTCCTGCACCGAGTGGTGCAGCAGCTGCTTGGCTGGGCTGGGCAGCAGGTATAAGGACCTAGAGTTGCCGTCCTCCCTGGTGAACAGAATCGAGGAATGGTTGGGCCCGTTGGGGTCTTTGCCCAGATCCACCGCCTCCACCATGTTTGACGCCGGGCACCAGAGGAGCCGCCCCCTCCCGAGCGCCATGGCACGCACAGAGCGACTGACTGAGCCACTACTGATTTTTAAAAAGAAAATATTCCTCTTATTTGTGACAACATGGATGAATCTGGAGAACATCATGCTAAACGAATAAGCCAGGCACAGAAAGACAAATACTGCATGCTCTTAATTATATGTGGAATGCAAAAAAGCTTAACTCAGAAGCAGAGTAGAATGGTGACTACCAGAGGCTGGGGGCAGGGGAGGCAATAGGGAGATGTTTGCCAAGGAGTACAAAACTTTTGTTAGATAAGAGGGATATGTTACCATGCAAACGGTAATCAAAAGAAAATAGGAGTGGCTATACATATATCAGACAAAGTAAACTTTAAGTCAAAAGTTGTCCCTAGAGACAAAGAAGGTTATTACGTAATGATAAAAGGGTGTATTAAACAGGAAGATAGAATAATTGTAAACGTATATGCAACCAACTTTACAGCACCTAAAGTTAACATTGAGAGAGAAGAAAGGAGAAATTGACAGCAGTAGAACAATAATAGGAAACTTTAACACTCCACTTTCAGTATTAAATTGAATATCCAGGCAGAAAATCAAGAAATAGTGAACTTGAACAACACCGTTAGCCAAATGGACTTAACAGACATGTACAGAACTTTTCACCCAACAGCAGAAGAATACACATTCTTTTTAAGCTTACAAGGAACATTCTCCAAAATACATCACATGTGAAGCCACAAGACAAGTTTTAACAAATTTAAGGAGATCAAAATTGTATGAAGTATCTTTTCTGACCACAATGAAGTGGAACTAGAAATCAATAACGAAGAAAGGTGGACAATTCACAAATACATGGAAACTAACATAATCTTAAAAACTACTGGATCAAAAAGAGAATTTTAAATACATCTTGAACTGAATAAAACTGAAAAAACATACTAAAAGTTATGGGATGCAATAAAAGCAGTAGTATGAAGAAAGTTTGTAGTGATAAATGCCTAAATTTAAGAAGTGGAAAGATATCAAATAAACAACCTAACTGTACACATCAAGGAACTAGAAAAAGAAGAAGCAGCTAAGCCAAAGCTGGCAAAAGGAAGAAAATAATAGGGATTAGAATAGAAAAAAGTCAAACGGAAAGTAGAAAAACTATAGAAAAATACCAAAAATAAAAATTGCCTTTTAGAGAAGAATAAAATTGGCAAACTCTTAGCTATACTAAGAAAAAAAGTAAAGAAACAAAAGCAGAATTAAAGAGGAGACATTACAACAGATCCCTCGAAATAAAAAGGATCATAAGAGACTATTATGAACAATTATATGCCAACAAATTGGATAACATAGAGGAAATGGGTAAATTCCTAGAAACATACAACCTACTAAGGCTGAACCAAGAATAAATGGAAAGCCGGAACATACCAATTACAAAGATATTAAAGTAGTAATAAAATGCCTCCCAGCAAAGAAAAATCCAAGACCAATTGGCTTCACAACTGAATTCTACCAAACATTCAAAGAAGAAATAACACCAATCCTTCTTAAACTTTTCCAAAAAATAAAAATAGAGGAAACACTTCTAACCGCTTTATGAGTCCAGCAGTACTCTAATACCAAAACCAAACACACCACAAGTAAAAAAAACTACAGACCAATATCTCTGATTAACATACATGCAAAACATCTTTGATAAATTGCTAGCAAACCAAATTCAACAACACATCAAAAAGTTTATACACCATGACCAAGTGAGATTTATCATTGGGATACAAGGTTGGTTTAGTACATGCAAAACAATCAATATGATAAACCACATTAAGAGAATGAAAGATTAAAACCACATAATCATCTCTATAGATGCAATAAGCACATTTGATGAAGTTTAATATCCTTTCATGGTTAAAAAATCCAAGGAAAATAGATATAGAAGATGCTGTGGTATGAATGTTTGTGTCTCTAAAGTTCATATGTTGAAACCTAAACCCCAAAGCAATAGTATTAAGAGGTGTGGGCTTTAGGAGATGATTAAGTCAGGAGGGTTTCTCCCTCAAAAATGGGATTAGTGCCTTTATAAAAGAGGCCTAAAAGAGTTGTTCATCCTTCTACCATGTAAAAATAAGAAGATGCCATCTTGAAACAGAGAACAAGCTCTCACCAGACACTGAATCAGCTAATGCCTTGATCTTGGACTTATCGGCCTCCAGAACTGTGAGCAATAAATTTTTCGTGTTTATAATTTCTTATTTTAAGAGATTTTGCTATTGCAGCCCAAACAGATAAAGATGGCAGGAAATTTCCTCAACATAATAAAGGCCATTTATGACAAGTCCACAAAGAATATCATTATCAATGAGGGAAACTGAAGCTTCTGCTAAGGTCTGGTAAAAGAAAAGGATGTTCCTTCTTGCCACTTCTATTTAACACAGTACTGAAAGTACTAGCAAGAGTAATCAGACAAGAAAAAGAAAGAGAAGCCATACGAATCAGAAAGGAAGAAGTAAAAGTGTCTCTGTTTGCATATAATATGATCCTTTACTTAGAAAACTGTAAATATTCCACCAAAAAAACTTATTAGCAATAATAAATAAATTCAGTAAAGTTACAAGACGTGAAATCAACATAAAAATCAGCTGGTTCTATACACTAACAAAGAAATATCTACAAAGGAAGTCAAGAAAACAATACCATTTACAAAAGCTACAAAACGATAGGAATAAATCTAACAAGGGAAATAAAAGATCTGAACCACCTTTCCAAAGAAAAATTTTTTTTTAGAGATGGGGTCTTGCTATGTTTCCCAGACTGGTCTCAAACTCCTGTCCTCTAGTGGCCTCCCAAATTGTTGGGATTACAGGTGTGAATCACCATGCCTGGTTCAGGTAAAAGATCTGTATACTGAAAACTATAAAACATTGATGAAAGAAATTAAAGAGAACATTAATAAACAGAAAGAAGACCCCATCTCTACAAAAACAAAAAAAATCCTAAAATATTAGTCAGGCATTGCGGCACATGCCTGTAGTTCCAGCTAATGGGGAGGCTGAGGAGGGAGGATCACTTGAGCCCAGGAATTTGAGGGTTCCGTGAGCTATGATCACACCACTGCACTCCAGCGTGGGTGACAGAGTGAGACCTTCTCTCAATAAATAAGTAAATAAATAAATAAATAGAAAGATATCCTGTGTTTTGGTTTGGAAGAATTAATACTGCTAAAATTTCTATATATCCTAAATGATCGATAGGTTTAACACTACATAGAAATTTTAATGGCATTTTCCACAGAAACAAAAAATACTAAAATTTGTATAAACCCACAAAAAGTTTTAAATATCAAAATAATATTGAGACAGAAAAATAAGGTTGGAGCATCATACTTCCTGACTTCAAAATGTATTGCAAAGCTACAGAAATCAAACAGAATGCTCCTGGCATAAAAGCCAACACATAGACCAATGGAACAAAATAAGAAACTCATAAATAAACCCAAGCACATATGGCCAATTAATTGTCAACAAGTTCACCAGGAAGACAAAATGGGAAATTGATAGTCTCTTCAATAACTGATGTGGGTAAAACCGGACATCTGCCCGCAAAAGAAATCTGACCCCTATCTTACACCACACACAAAAACAAACTCAAAATGGACTAAAAGCTTAAAAAATAATACCTCAAAACATTTAAATTCTAAAAAAAATACAGGAAAACTTCTTGACATTAGTCTGAAAAGGATTTTTTAAAAAATAATTCACCAAAAGCACAAGCAATAAAAGCCAAAATAAGTAAGGGGCATTACATCAAACTAAAAAGCTTCTGCGTGCCAAAGGAAACAATCAACAAAATGAATAGGCAGCCAATCAATTGGGAGAAAATATTTGCAAGCTATATATCTTATAAGACTTTAGTACTCAAGATACATAAGGAACTAACACTCAACTCAATAGCAATGAAACAAATAATCCAGTTTTTAAAACGGGCAAAGGTCCTGAATAGACACATCTAAAAAGAAGACATACAAATGACTAACAGGAATATAAAAATGTCCAACATCATTAATCATCAGGGAAATGACAATCGAAACCATGAGATACCATCTCACAACTGTTAGGATAGCCATTATCAAAGAGACAAGATATAACAGGTGTTGGTGAGGGTGTATAGTAAAGAAAACCCATTGACACTGTTGGAAATGTAGATTGTTGCAGTCATATTGGAAAACAATGTGGAGTTTCCTCTAGAAATTTTAAAAAATAGAACTAATATATGACCCAGTAATCCCTCTTCTGGCTATATACTCAAAGGAAGTGAAATCACCACCTTGTAAACATATATGTGCTTCCATGTTCATTGAAGCATGGTTTACAATAGCCAAGATATGGAAACAAACAAATTGTGGTGGGGAGTGTCATCAAGATGGCAAAACTGGAGATACTAGCCTTTATCCACCCCCAAAGAAAATAAATAGCTATCCACAAATGAAAATATCTCTAAGAGGGCTCAAAGGCACATTAAAGAATGTGAGGCAACACAGTGGAGCAAAAACAATAACAACAACAAAATACAATAAAAAAGGAGGCTATCCACAGAAAAGAACACTGGTGAGACTGGCATATCTGAGACTCCAGGAGATGGCTAGGGTCAAAGAAGAAAGGTGAAAGCTACTGATATCAGCCGCATGGCAGGAACCACCATGGTCCCCAGGGGCCTTCTTCAAACAAGACACTGGCATGTTTTGTCACTGAGTTAAGAAACAGATATTTCTGTTGGGGGAACCCCATAGAGGAAGGCACAGCTTCACAACCCTCCCTTACCCAAGAAGCTGCTGCTGTTGAGCCACTTTGGGAAATCACCTGCCTCCTCTCTCAACCTCATGCATGCCATAACCCCCAAGCCTCAGCTGCTCCATGGATGCCCACGCTTCAGAGACTGGAGCCATCACCATACCAAGCTGGTGTACACTCCAGGCCCTGGAGCCAAGGTCTCTCTAAGTGTTCCCTGAATCCAGGCACAAGCTGAGCCGTCATAGAGAGGCAGGCCCTGACCTGATCCTGAAACACTGTAACTCTGAACACACCTGTGGCAGGAACTGGGGAGATGTATATTAAAGGATACGAAGTCTCAGTGATACAGACGCATGCATCCAGAGATCTGAAGTACAACATGAGGGCTATAGTCAATGATATTGTAGTGTATACTGCAAATTTTCTAAGAGGATAGATTTTAGGGGCTCTTAACCACATGCACACAAAATGATAGATGTTAATTTGCTTGACTGTAGTAATCATTTCTCTATGAACATGTATCAAAACATTATCTTGTGTACCTTAAATACACATAATAAAAAAGATAAGGCGAATGTGAAAACTCAGCGGAGACCTTCTATGAGTGCCCCTCCACCTTCCTTGTGTTTCCTCCTGACTCTCTCTTGCATGGAACTTCTATTGCATGCAGAGAATTCATTTTGCTGTTTTCAAATATATGCTATTGTGCTATTCTTTAAGACTACTACCCATAATAACACTGAGCTTTAAAAATCATTCCCTACTTATAGCTTTTTAGCCTATAAGCTTAGCTTACTAGTGTAAGAAAGAAAGAGAAAAGAAACACCAAAAGTGGCTTAACAATTAAAGACAGGTTTATTTTGGAGAATAAACTTGAGAGGGGCTTCTGGCCAAGTTAGGTTAGAGGCATTTTTTCTTACACACTAAGAGTTTTTAAGGGTTTGATGTGGGACAGCTTATTATAGGCTTGGAATGTTTCTTGTGTTTCTTTGTCTCGCTTATCTGGGAGGGAGAGTTTGTGTGCATTTCCATCCATTTTCCTGAAGCTGCAGGTATACCCCGAGTCTACTTTTAGCTTCCCTATCTTAGTGCACGTAAAGGGAAAGGAATGTGCTTACTAGGGCCCACTGTTTCACTGGGGCCCATTGTATGAGGGTGAAGTTTGGCTGTTACCCAAGAGACTTTCCCCCCTCCCTCTGTGCCCAAGGTGTCTTATCTGTGTTTTACTGTCTGCTCCTTCCGGCTGCTTGTAGTTAGAAGAGAAGTGACTTCCTTGAAATGCAGGAGGCTAGAAAAGGGGCTGGAAATTAAAGTGGCGATGTTTGACTGACATGACGGTGCTCCTGCCCTGTCATTCTAGACCCTATAGTTATAAAAGGATGAGGGGCAATATTTTTGTTTGTTTGTTTGTTTTGCTACTTCCTGCTGGGGGGGGGGTGGCAGACAGATTTCTGGTTTTGGATTGGCTGAAGGAGCAATGCCATTTGTAGATGTTTTGGGTAGTTGTTTGTGAAATAGCCATGATTCTATTGGTTAAGAATTTTTGAAAAAGCTGAATTAGGTAGGGTAAAAACATGAGTCCTGGGCTTTTTAGCAGCATTTTTTATTAGGCCTGATTGGTTGAGATAGAAGCAACTTTTTTTTTTTTCCAATGAGAGGTAGAGGCACATGTTTGGAAAGGCCTATGTGTTATTTTTTGTTAGTAACTGTTATTCCTACTATGAGGATCATAATTAAGCAAAATGCTACAGTAATTGAGATTCTCTGTCCGATATTTTACCCTGAGGGTGCTACCGTATATAGTTTTCCTGCAAATAGTAAAGTGAGTAAAGCAATTCCTGCAAGGGTGGCATAGTAAATAATTTCCATTAAAAACGTTTTAATATTTGGCTTAAAACGAGAAGTAGAAATGACAAAAAGTATTTGGTGAGATAGAGGTGAGACTGAGTAAGATGAGTAATTTTTACTTACGAACTTATTTTTTGTGCTTTTAGCTTAAGATTATTTATGTTTTGTACATTGATATTTGGGACATTTCTCTGGGCTGTTAGGAGTTGCTTCCTCAGATTTTTAAGCTTTGACTTGAGTGTGATGTATTTAGGAGTTGATTTCTGTAATGGATATAAGTTAAACTGTAGCAAATAGTAAAAACTGAAAAATATTAGGCAAGACTAGAATTTAACAACAGGTGTGCTATAGTGTTTGAAACATAATTTTCTCTGTTCCGTTTTCCATGTTTATTAAAAGACAAGTCATGGTAGGACTGATTTGCTTTATTATACTTGGCTTAATTATTTGCATACAATTCAGCAAGAATAACTATTTGCTACATAGGCCTTTTAAATTGGCTTTGATGGCACTTTGTTTCATAGAAGGAATTTGAGATAAGACTTTTTGAAGCCAAGCCCAGCCATGGATTTGTACTATTAAACACCTATGAGTTGGCAGAATTCCTTTCCTCTTCAGGTTTTAAGATAACTTGGGGTTCCTGGCCTGCGAGAAACTGACATTCTTTACTTACCACAGGTCAGAAACCCTGTACAGGGGCTGTGTACACAGAATCTGAGGCCAGTGTCCAAGGGCTATATTGGCTCCATAAGTCAAGTTTGATTCCTTAAAGGAGAGCACACCATTCCAGTCAAAGCCTTGGCAAAATAACCAGTTTCTCCAATTGTGTTCTGTTACAAAAGAAAACAGGTTCTTTTTTTTTTTTTTTTTTTTTTTTTGAGACACAGTTTTGCTCTTGTTGCCCAGGCTGGAGTGCAATGGCGCAATCTCGGCTCACTGCAATCTCCGCCTCCCAGGTTCAAGCAATTCTCCTGCCTCAGCCTCCCCAGTAGCTGGGATTACAGGCATGTGCCACCATGCCCAGCAAAGTTTGTATTTTGTATTTTTACTAGAGACAGGGTTTCTCCATGTTGGTCAGGCTGGTCTCAAACTCCCGACCTCAGGTGATCCACCCGCCTCAGCCTCCCAAAGTGCTGGGACTACAGGCGTGAGCCACCTCACCCGGCCAGAAAACAGATTTTTTTTTTTTTCAGATGGAGTCTTGCTCTGCCACCCAGGCTGGAGTGCAGTGTTGCGATCTCAGCTTACTGCAAGCTTCGCCTCCCAGGTTCACACCATTCTCCTGCCTCAGCCTCCTGAGTAGCTGGGACTACAGGCGCCTGACACCACACCTAGCTAATTTTTTGTATTTTTAGTAGAGATGGGGTTTCACCGTGTTAGCCAGGACGGTCTCGATCTCCTGACCTCGTGATCCGCCCGCCTTGGCCTCCCAAAGTCCTGGGATTAGAGGCGTGAGCCACCGTGACCGGCCCAGAAAACAGTTTCTTATCGCACTTATGCAAACAACTATATTGGTGTAATTTAAGAATACTTATAACTAGTTTTTAAATTCTAGAGGACCTAGGCAGAGAGAAACACGCTTTAAATCCTATTTACAGGAATATACTTTACTTAGCTGTGAAAGTCTGTCACTAGCTTAAGACAAGTTTTCTTGACTCTGAAAAAATAAAATAAGGATTAGCAGTGTTTTAAGCAAAAGGTAAAAACTTGTTTTGGTTTTCTATTAGTTTAGTCCATTTTCTTAAATTTTGCTTGATATTTATAAACATTTTAGCTTTCCATGAATTTTGTACATTTTTTGTTGTTGTTGTGAGAAACTCATGTTTGAGAGCACTTGTTAAAGTCCCGCAGCTTGATTATAAACCATCTTTTGAAAAGAATTAAAACGAAACAACAATTGTGTGCAAATGACAAAATGTCCAGTTTGGATACAGTTAGAAACACAATTAACAAAGAAATTTAGTCATTTTTGTGGTTTACAATAACCCAACATAACAACCTTAATTGTGATTGATAGCACATATTCAGACACTAACATTAGACATTTCATACAGTTTTGGAACATATGTTAATATTATTCCCTAAAATATAACTTATTAGGCAGTGTTTTGGCAATTTTATGTACCTAAACATGTTAAATAATCCTGTTTACCTTTGTTCCAGATGCTTTAGGGGCCCTTTGCAGGACCTAAAATTTAGGGGTTAGGAAAGACAATTTTGAGACTAAAGTTTGGTTTTGGAAGCCTGTTAAATATGTTTAAAATTTAAACCATTTGATATTATGAAATGGAATTTTAGATTATTATTTTTGTTCATTTGTGTGTTTGTTTTGTTTCGTTTTGCCAAAATGATGAGTTAAAAATTTGGAAAAGCAAAAACCATTTATTAGCCTTTTTTATTACATGAAAATTCTGTTTAAGAGAGAAAGTTACATTTTACCCTTTCATTAGTTTATTAATGTTAACCCTAATTTTAATGAAACCTTATAGACAATTCTATTTAATCTTAACCAGTTTGACTATGAAGTGAGATTTTTACATACCTGTTATAATCCTTGACACATTTTGCTAAAGAGTAGATTAGCATTTTAAGAAAACCTTGTGGTGCTTTTATTTTAGTGTTTAATTTACAGAAAAAAAAGTTATACCCTTTTGAGTTTAGTTAATATACTTACACACAGAGTTTTCTTTGCAGAATTAATTTTTATAATGTTTTTACAATTTGCTTAATCCATTAATTTAATTTTAAGATAACTTATTTTTAAGCAAAATGTACATTTTTGTACCTTCTTTTAATTTTTGACTGAAACACTTTTTACTGTTTTTATGCACCTTGCATGTAAATTCATGTTTAGTAGTTTTCACTACATGTCATAATGGTAACTTTTAGCAATTTTTAACTTTAATGTAAAACCTGTTAAGTTTTTTAAATTATGTGCCAGATGCAGATGAAGTCTGACTTTTTCCAGCATAGTTAGGGGCATGGTTACTTTGATATGTTTCTGGCCTTATCAATTGTGAAGCAGGTAAGTTGACAGTTTTTAAAGGATAAAGAAGCAGTTTACAACCTTAAAACAGCAAACCTAGTATCTGACCTGCCTAACATATGCCGCATTTTTACACCTTGAAGACATTGGTATTTTACCAATAATTCCTAAGACTGTTTTTATTTTTAAATATTAAAGTTACGTGAACTGAAAGGTATCACAACTTTTACTTTTCCCTTAAAAATATTTGATTTAAGCACTTATTTTTCTTAGGCAATTAATTAGCCCTCTTTTTAATAGACATGGCACACATAACACGTGCATAGCCACACAGACAACCAGAAGAAGAACCAGTCGTTGTAAGATTTTTCATTTTTTGCTAATTTCCCTGTTGGATTATTGGCCTTCAGGTGAGGCCCTTTAAGAACAGTGCTAGGAATACCGTTTCCAGGGCCTAATAAACAAGCAGAGCCAGAAGACAAAGACAGACTTTGAGAGGTACTTATTCACCTCTACTTCCAGGGGTTCCATGAGGAAAACAGAGATTTTTCCCAAAATGGGATTTGTGGTGCCTTTTCTGTTTTCCCAAGGAGTCCCAGGCCACCAGAAGTTATTTTGGGGTCTTTTACATATGCACCAAGAGTGGTAAGACAGAGTGGAGAGAAGTAATTTAGGTGACCGAGAAAAACACCTTTTCTAGGAAAACAAGATTTATGAAGAGAAAAACATAAAGGCCTTTTGAGTATACTTATAGCTTGGATATTTAATTTTAATTAAGCTGAGCGTTCTTTCTACTAGGGGTGAGGGTGGAGGTTAGAATTATAGAAATGTTATGCCAAGTTAAATTACGTGCAGGAATTCCCTGTGATAATGAGAGGGATTTTTTGGGAAACATCCCAGACACTGTTCGATTTGCAACAAATCAGACCCGGAGAAGGGGACGTGAACATGAGTGATTCCTTCAAGCCCAGCCACTGCTGGGAGAGGGAGGATGGCGGAGGAGGTTTCACTGGTTGGAGCAGGTTTTGAACCGGTGGAGAAGGAGGAGGGCGGGGCTTAAGGGAGAAGAAAGCCTGAATATAGGGAACCTTTTGCCAGTTACCGTCTCTGGTGATAAAGGCGTCAAGGTTCCTGAGAACCTGAAGGGTAAAGGTGCTGCTTTGGGCCGCTGGCTGTCATTATCTAGTTTGTACTGGGGCCAGGACGTTTGCAAGATAACATTAAACGCTTTGGCTTTAGACTCCCGACTAAGCCAAGTTTGACGAGGCTGTGAAGACGACAGTTCAGTGGGGAGGACGCAGGAATGTGGGGGTGCTGGGCACCCGCGAGGGCTGGTAAGAGGAAGCCAGGGGTGTCTGTCTGGTTCTGGGCCTTCCCAGACAAAAGCCAGAGACCCGGAGCCTCTTTCTGAGAAGGAACCGGGCGTCCCCAAGATTTCCTCTAGCCGAGTCCCCTGGGTCCCCCGAGGACCGGGACAGCTCTGGTACCCGGAGAAAGCCAGGAGAAGGCAGATTTTACACCTCAGCTGAATTAGTGTCCAGCATTGGGTGTTGCAGTTGGAATCGGCAAAGGGCCTCAGACTGGAGCTGCGGGAGGAAGAGAGGGAGACGAAGAGGGAGAGAAGAGGAGGGAAGAGAGCAATGGTCGGAGAGCAAAATACCAGTTGTGAGCGGTTGGAGGGGGAGTCCAAGACCTGAGGGTTTTGAGAGCCCACAGGGGAGGAGCCCCGGCCAGAGTCTCACAGTTCCCTTCAATGCGAATTGCTCGGAAAGTGAAGGGAGAGGCTGGGAGAGCCGGGCCCGGCGGCGGGCAGGCCTAAGGCGGCGCGGGACACCCACTAGTCGCACCTTTTCCCGGCTCTCGCCTCTGCAGAGGGAGCAACTATGGCTGCGGAAGTCCTGGAGGCAGCCTCCGCGGAGGAGCAGAAGGAAAAGGAAGATAAAGTGACTAGTCCAGAGAAAGCTGAAGAAGCAAAATTAAAAGCAAGGTATCCTCATCTGGGACAAAAGCCTGGAGGTTCAGATTTCTTAAGGAAACGATTGCAGAAAGGGCAAAAATATTTTGATTCTGGGCATTACAACAGGGCTAAAGCAAAAACGAAGAGCAAGCAACTTCCTACTGCAGCTCCAGATAAGACGGAGGTCACTGGTGACCACATTCCTACTCCACAGGACCTTCCTCAACGGAAACCATCCCTTGTTGCTAACAAGCTGGCTGGCTGATTAAAAGAGCTGAACTGCATGAAGCTGCTAATTCCCATTATTTCTCTTTAATATGTTACTTACCTTTTTATTTCCTTTCATTCACTAAGTCATTTGAGACCGACAGCTTTGCAGGTATCAGTAATGTGTGCTGCTATTGTGGAATATACAGGTGTAGAGTTTTTGATTAGTTTAACAGTGCACTGGGGAAGAGGACATGTCAGAGCAACACAAGTAAACTACTTGAAAATAACTGTATGTATTACCTAACTCCTAGTGTAGTACTGGTTCTAACAAGTAACAAGCAAGTTTTAAAATTTTAATGTTTTGACTTTCATTACTTCATCTTAATTACAGCTTTGTATGTTACTCTTATTTAATATAATCTCTATTGTATTGATTTCTTCTGTATAAACCTTTTGGATTTTGTAAAACAGAGGTTTAAGACCACAAGTTAGAAGAAAGGTCACCTATTTCAAACAACTAGATGGGGCTCCACAAGATTTGTATCTCTGTGCTTGAACTTGAATGGCCTTAAACCTGTTTCAGCTTTAACAGTAGAATTTTACTTGGGCAATATTTGCCCATTCTGGTGTAACTTATGTGACCCTAGTGCTTAACAGCTGCCGTCGAAGCTAATATTCTTATTCAGTTCTGTAGAGTCAGAATACCTTTTGTTGTTGAAGATGTGCAATGACTGTTGAATTCACTTTTGTGCCATTTTTGTAAATACAATAATTTTGCACAACCTCTCACAAATGCCTATATTTATTTCACATACTTAAAAAGTAGATAATGTGCCAAGCAGAAGCACAAGAGGTCCTACACAAAACTCTGTAAGTCATTATAGCTTTTGTATAATAAGAGTAGTTTACAATCTCGGGCTTATAGAATACCAAACTGAAATCTTAGTTCAATCTGTCATAGACTTAAGCTTTTCATTTGTTACTAATATCCATGGCATTCAGTGGCCTTGTGCAAATACGATATGTTGCTTAGGAATATCTTTTGTCCTATGCAGAACCTTTCATTTTGATTTTTATGAAAGTTGCAATTCATATAATTTATATAAACTTTTTAAATGTAGAAACTTTTTACTTCCACACTCAACTTTGGAGACACTAGAGTAAAAGGCTTCAATACTCTGCATTCTATGCCCCCTGCCACCTGCTTTTTCCCTTTTGTTCTTCGACTCAAATGGTATTGGGTTGTTTGTTCTATACGAAAGCATAGGTGTCTATATCCTTACTCTTTTAAATAACACAATAATGATGTTTTCCTTCTAATTTCTCAGTTGTTAATCTCTCTCTCTCTCTCTTTTTTTCTTGAGATAGGGTCTTTCTCTGTCACCTAAGCTCTAGGGCAGTAGTGCAATCATAGCTCACTGCAACCTTACTCCTAGGCTCAAGCTAACTATTCTTAATCCTTTATTATTACCAATATTCTACAATTGTTTAAATAAAAGGAACTTTATAATCAAACAGTACAGAATACTGGCTCAAGAACCTATGTCAAGATGAGCTGAATTTTGGTACATTATTTTAGGAATTATGACAAGCTAATAGAATTGGGCTTGTGACAATGAGAGTAATTCACATGACAGGTAAAACTTACTCATATTAAAAATGTTTAGATATTTGCTTCTATAGATGTCACTTTAATAAAATAACAATTTAGTTTTACTTGTGGCTTACCTAGTTAGCAAGAACTTTAACAGACTTTATTGGGACAAGCTTACTGCTCTTGTAGGAGCTCCTCTCACAAGTAGTTGTAATGCTGTACCATGATACTCAGGATCAGTAACTTCAGATGTTACTATCTTTCTCTTCATCTTTGACTTGCAGAGAGCCTCCTCTTTTTGGATCCAGGCATCTTTTCTGAATCCTGGTTCCATTAGTATACCTGCTCTCCTATGATCCCAAATCATAGTCAATGGTGCCTCCAACATAGCACCTTCAGTTAAAGGCTGCCTAGTGCTCTGAGGAAAGCTTACTGATTATCTTCCTGCTCTACTCACCCCGAAAGGCAGAAAAGCAACATAGTCACTCCTGTGCTCATTTGTAATTGTAAAGATCAGAGATATAGATATTTGTAATGAGAGCAAGTATATACTCATTATAGGATCAATTTAAGAAGTTTAAAATATCCCAAAGTAGAATTTCTATATCTAGTCTTCTGGGTTTTTTTCACGAATATTTGCAAGTGATTACGCTTAACTTCACACATGAAAGATTAATCTGAAAGGTCAGAGAGACCCTGTTATTCCTGACCACGATAGAACTGCTCCTGTGGTTTGGGACAAGTAACAAAACAACTGCTTGAGTTTTGTTTGTAAAATACACTATTAATATTTGACCTACCTCAAAACGTATTGAGGATCTGTGAAACACTAAGTGCCCAAAATAAAATATTGCTGATTGTCTTTTTATTAAAAGTAAATTTCCTCATTAAGCCAACCGGCCTTCTGTAAGTCACAGTGCTCAAGTCTCAGGGTTTGTCATTAGGAGAGGTCTGTCGTTAAGGATTTGTAGGTGTAATTGCCTAGCCTCCATTATTGGTGATTGCGATAGAGAGGTTTTACATTTTTCTGTTTTTCATCCTGCCCCAAAGCTCAGTTTATTGAAGACATTTGTAAGCTATTGGATCATCACTTGAATCAAGATTTTGACTAGTGAGCCCAATTGTCCCTTTCTTATTATTTCAAAGCTATAGTCTGAGAAATGGCTAATTTTAATAACTGTCCTATCATAAATTAATGTTGGAATAAACTGAAGTTGGAGATGAAGACTTCATGAAAACTAACTAAAGTCTGAAATAAATCACCTGTTTTATGTCCAATAGCTACTGCCTTTGATAGAACAGTTTTGAGGAACATTTCATTCTTGAAGGCAGCATCCGACATGGTTCTCAGCAAATTGGAATAGTAAGGATTGTTGGGTTGTTTCGATGAGTGGAAGCAGCGTTTGTAGCATAAAAGTTATTCAATAATCTTGTGCTGTTGACCTGAAAATGTGTCTTAACTATTCATCAAGGCAAGCCTGGTGAAGCCTTTACTTGTTACTACTTCAACAGTTGGAATTAGTTGCTCTTTTTACTTGATGAAGCAAAACTATACCTCTGAATATTTATGGATGCTTTTTACAAAATCAGGCTTGTGTTCTTAATCCGAATTAGTAAAGTTTTATGGAAGCTGAAATGTAATACAGTAGTCTCCCCTTATCTGCAAGAGATACAGTCCGAGACCCCTAGTAGATGCCTGAAACCTCAGATAGTACTAAACCCTGTATAGTCTATGTTTTTTCAATCTGACAACCAAGGCGGCTACTAAGCGACTAAGGGGCAGGTTGTATACAACCTGTGTGGATAAGCAGGACAAAGGGATGATTCACATCCCAGGCAGGACAGAGGAGGAGGATCATGAGATTTCATCACTACATGGCTTGTGATTTATTTTATTATTATTTTTTTTTTTTGAGAGGGAGTCTCGCTCTATCACCCAGCCTGGAGTAGTGGTGCGACCTTGGCTCACTGCAGCCTCTGCCTCCTGGGTTCAAGCAGTTCTTCTGCCTCAGCCTCCCAGGTAGCTGGGAATGCAGGCGCCCGCCAACATGCCCAGCTAATTTTTGTATTTTTAGTAGAGACAGGGTCTCACCATGTTGGCCAGGCTGGTCTCGAGCTCATGACCTTAGGTGATCCGCCCTCCTCGGCCTCCCAAGGTGCTGAGATTACAGGAATGAGCCACAGTGCACAACCAGCTTGTGATTTAAAACATGGTTTATTTCTGGAATTTTCCACATAATATGTTTGGACCAAGGTTGCCTCGGGTAACAAACTATGGAAAGTGAAATTGCAGATAAAGGGAGTTACTGCTGCTGTGCTCTAAAATTGGTGTTTGGGTGATCAGGAGTGGGTAGCCAATGGGAAGAGGTGATCAGGAGCAGGTAGCCAATGGGAAGAGGTGATCAGGAGCGGGTAGCCAATGGGAAGAGGTGATCAGGAGCGGGTAGCCAATGGGAAGAGCACTTCTGAGTGATCACCAAAGCAGTTTCTTTAGTGGTCTTTTCACATTCTCCAATGTTCAAGCATATTTTCCACTTTCCATTTTCTATTTCACCTCATTTTGCCTCATCATCTGCCATCCCTGCTTATTTCTTAAGCCTACTGATGGCACTCACTAAATTGTGTTTAGGGCTAATGAATCATTGTTCCTTAATATCCTTTTCAATATGCCACAATTTAGAATGCATTTAAAATTTTCTAAAACAATATCCTACTCTGAATATTAACTAATTTGAGCCACATTCCCATCTCTAACTCAGCACAAAGTGCCAGTCTTCCCCAATATCTCCTCTCAACTCCCCACCGCACCTTATAAAATTGGAATCAGAAATCTCACTCTGTCATTGCTCATCTTAGAATAAAAACACTGATTTTAATACTGTTTTACTAGTTTCAGCCTTCTAAGTACGTAGGCCTCTAGGTATTCTGCAGATCACTGGTGGTCTTGATAGCCATTCATATATGTTCGTATTATGTTATTTTTCAACTAAATCGCAATTGGAAAAAAACATCTTTAATATTATGCCCTTGGATCTGTTACTTCATTACTAATACTTGTGATGCAATAGGACACTTCACCTGTACTAAAAGGGCCAAGAGTAAATGTCTTGTTTTGTTGTTGTTGTTAAACATGTCTACAGAGTTGGCAGTTAATGCTGAATTTGTCAAATAGCTCTTCCAAAATTATACTTGTATTTAAAAAATAAATGGATCTACCTAATTTCTATTCATCTAATTTGCAGTTTTGTCTTATTAAAGTGGTATGTTTTTCAATGTATTTTTTTCTGAAGTTGATCTCTTTACATTTCAGCTATTACTGTAGGCAGAAAGAAATTGACTTGTAATCTTTGATTTTTTTGCATTTGTAATGGCTTTGTACTTAAGGTAGGATTACATGTTTACAGATTGTGGGGGAAAAAAAAAGAAAAGTGAAGGGAGAGAAAAGACAAGGCGAGTGGCCAGAGACCCTCAGGATCCAAGAGTTAACTCTGATTAACTCAGATGCTTTGTTCAGCCAATTTCAGACTTCTTTTTTCCTAATACAAGCACTTAAGGATAAGCCTTTCTGTAAGAACTGCCTTACATGCATCATAGTATTTTAAATGTAGTGTTTTCATTCTTCTTCTAGTCTAATTACCTTCAACTTCTATTATTAGTTCTCTTAGACCCATTAGTTATTTAAAATTGTGTTATTAACAATTTCTAAGTTCATGGGGTTTCCTCTTTTTAAATTGCTCTTTACCTTCGTTGTCCTTCGTGGTGCTCTCCGTGGAAACCTGCTTTCTGATCTAGTAAGTGCTTATTCTTTGTGCATGTCCCTAGACTTGAAATCACTGCATAATCCCTAACTGTGTGTGTCCTGGCTTAGTGCATCTAATGAATGACTGAATGAATGCATCTTTGCCTTTGCCTTACCCCCGGGCCTGAAACATCGTCTTGGTCCCCTTCTCAATACCTTGGATCCTTGGAGATCAAGGTCCTGGTTGTTCTGGCAAGTTCAACACAATCTGGCCTCATGATCAGAGTCCTGTCCCTGAACTCAAGACAAGGGAGGGATGGGCAGAATTACCTCATGCTGTGCCAGGAAATATGAGTCTCATGGGGCATGGCCTGTGTGCCTGGGCAAATTCACTGCCTCACTACCCTGTGCTGAGATGATCTCTTTTTTTTTTTTTTTTTTTTTTTTTTTCTGAGATAGAGCCTCACTCTGTCACCAGACTGGAGTGTAGTAGTGCAATCTGGGCTCACTGCAACCTCCCTCTTCCCGGTTCAAGCAATTCTCCTGCCTCAGCCGCCCAAGTAGGTGGGACTACAGGTGCGCACCACCATGCCTGGCTGATTTTTGTATTTTCAGTAGAGACGGGGTTTCATCATGTTGGCCAGGATGATCTCGATCTCTTGACCTCGTGATTCACCTGCCTTGGCTTCCCAAAGTGCTGGGATTACAGGCATGAGCCACTGCGCCCGTCCAATCTCTCTTTCAGGGACAGATGTTCACTCTCTCTTGCAGCTCTGCCTGCCAGACTAAGCCTGAAAATATCTCTGCATCTGGCATTCCTTTACCACCTATGTGGGGCACAACCCAGAACAAAGTCCCTCCAAGTGTACCCTACTCTCTTTCCATTATCATTTCTCTGGTCTGAGATAGATGTTTATGACCTGCCAATAAATGCAGTGACTCAAACTCCAGTGCCCATACTCCTCATTCATACAGCCATGTTTAGGGAGGCTCTAGGGAGAAATGCACAGTTTGACATCGTTCATGAAGAGCCTCTCCACGGCTCCTGCGCCTGAGACAGCTGGCCTGACCTCCAAATCATCCATCCACCCCTGCTGTCATCTGTTTTCATAGTGTGAGATCAACCCACAGGAATATCCATGGCTTTTGTGCTCATTTTGGTTCTCAGTTTCTACGAGCTGGTGTCAGGTAAGCCTTTCAGTTTGGACTGTTGTTTTTCTCCTTGTTGAATAATATTTTGAGTTCATTCATGACAATGATCTCAGCACAGTGAGATGCAGGAATCTTTGGTGCTTGCATTCTCCAGCTTCTCCTGGCCTCAGGCTGGAAACTACCAATGCCAGGAGCTGTGGGAAGCACAGGGCAGCAGGAATTGAGGAAGACTCCTTGGGCTGTTTCTCAAGGACTTGGGCACTATCACAGTAGCTCAGAATAATGGGAGCAGGCCCTGGGAGCAGGGAGGGAACACATTGAGAACGCCAAGGTAAACACATTGTTCTCCCCAGGTGGGCTGTGGGGCTTAGGCAGGGGAAGTCTCTAATAAAATCCCCAGGTTTTTGACTTGGGTGCCTGGGTGGAAGGTGGCACTGTTTAGGATGTTTGGAGAAAAAGACAATGTGTCCAGTTATGCACATGCTGAGTTAGAAACACCTGTAGTTATGGGGTAGAGCACCAGACCTTTAAGTGAGGAGTAAGTTGGAACCTGGCATAGTCTAGGCAGAAACCCACTCTTCTTTCTCCTTCTAGTAACCATCAAGACAAAGCCTGGTGTATAGGATATTCAGTAATCAAATAAATTTTGCAGGGAGAGATAGGGGCTGGAGTAGAACACTGGATTCTGGGTGGTCAGTGTTAAGCCACAAAAAGTTCATTTGACTGTGTTCACTTTCTGTCTGGAACAGTTCCATCCTGCTATTTGTCTACCTATGACTGTTTTGCTAAACAAAGCCAACAAAACAGAAATAAGGGGATCAAAATCCATGTGTGCTCAGAGGGCGTGGTGGCTCACACCTGTAATCCCAGCACTTTGGGAGGCTGAGGTGGGTGGATCACCTGAGGTCAGGAGTTTGAGACTAGCCTGGCCAACATGGTGAAACCCCATCTCTACTAAAAACACAAAAATTAGCCGGGCATGGTGGTGAGCGCCTGTAGTCCCAGCTACTCGGGAGGCTGAGGCACGAGAATCACTTAAACCCAGGAGGCGGAGGTTGCAGTGTGCCAAGATCGTGCCACTGCACTCCAACCTGGGTGACAGAGTGAGACTTTGTCTCAAAAAAACAAAAACAAAAAATCACAATCCACGTATGTTACTCACAAGACAGCCTCCGTTTAAGTACATTCTCACCCATTTTCTGACAAGCCTTTCTGTCTGCTTTCTGTTTCTGCATGAGGCAGCAGGGCATGCTGGAAATGACCTTAGAGGAAGTAACACTATTTTTAAAACTTTCCTTTTCTCTATGAGCTTGTGGCTAATAACTTCTATTAGCATCAATTTTTGCTTATGATGACATAGAGATAATAAGATCACATCTGTGACATTCCTGTGGCTGAAGGGCTGCTGTGTGGATTGCGTGAACTCGTGCATGTAGAGCGTCCAGCACGGAGCTCCGCTGGGGCACAGTATGTTGCGACAACAGACAGTGTCATTCCTTGCTTCTCCCCAGGGGAAGGAGTAAAGGGAGACGCTGTCGGCAAGACAAATGACAGCAGCAAGGCTGGCCGGAGAAACAGACATATACTAAAAACTGTTTGCCTGGCTTGAGAGTCTCACACAGCCTTGAAGGCAGCACTCACAGCAGCCCAGCTGACAGGCTGGGTCCCAAAAGCTGATCTAGAGCAAGGGCCTTTCTGCAGGTGGTTTGTTTAGCAGACTGTTCTCAGAAACAAAAGTGACAGGGTGCAGAGAGTGAAGCCAGCGGGAGGTAAGCCATAGAGGGTGCGCTAATGAGCAGGTTGCTGCGGTGGCAACTGGGACCCAGTCCCACTGGGTCCTTTGGAGGAACTGTATAGACGATGGCTCAGGATCTTCCCAACATCCACTGCTTCCTGTTCCCCACTGGGTGAGATGTGCCCCTCCGGGACTATTAAAATCGCAAACCTTCTTGGCCACCCTGTGCCTGGGCTGAGGAGGTTCCAAAGGTTGCAAGAAGCCATCAGCAGAGAGGCAGAGGCCAGGCTCCAGGGGCGGAGCTGTCAGCAGGCAGGCAAGTGCCCATCCCATTCCAGGGGGACTCAGGGTTGGGTGGTGAGGAGCAGGGCCTCAACATCTGCTACACCAGGTCAGCAGCTGGTCTGACACCAGGCTGCAAAGTCACGCCTCACTTAATAATGCTCTTAAAGATGCATGAGTGAAATACATTTCAGCAAGATTTATAAAATGTACTTAAACTTAGAAATAATTAGTGCTAAAATTAAAAATATCCACTTATCTGGAAATTCACACATGGGATCCACTTTGCCTCTGATGCACATGCAGATACCACACACAGATATATCCATATACCATAAATGGATACATGTGAATGAATCAAGAGACACTGCCAATCAAAGGGGGTGGGTACTTAGAAGGTGAAGGGAGTGGGCCTCCATCGTTTGTGGTCTCTCTAAGAAGAACTCTAATCATACAGAGTTGTAAGTGTGATTTGCACCAGAAAAATTACTTAGTTGACCACAAAACCAAGAAGCAAATGCAAAAAGAAAGTAGCGCTCACCATTCCTAGGCATAATCCCTGTCTGTGGAGCCCATTCTCCATGCTGGGCATGGGGAATCCTGTGCTGAGGGAAACACACACACTCTGTCCTCATGAAGCTAAAAGTCGTGCAGGGAAGGCTCGCAGAAAACAAACAGTTATGTCACTTGCAGCAAGATGAAGACAGTTTCAAGTGAAGATCAAGACAAAGCTGTACCAAGAAAATACAAACAAAACAAAACAGGTAAGCCATGTTGATAAAGCACTAGAGTGGGGGTGTCCAATCTTTTGCCTTCCCTGGGCCATATTGAAAGAAGAACTAACACTAACGATAACTAATGAATGAAAAAAAATCACAAAAAATCTTATAATGTTTTAAGAAAGTTTAAGAATTTGTGTTGGACCGTATTCAAAGCCGTCCTGAGTCTCATGCAGCCCACAGGCTGTGGCTTGGACAAACTTTTGCTAGACGAAGTACTATTCAAGCACGAAATAATAAAGTGGAAAAACATAAAATTATTACCTGGAGTAAAATGTAGGTGTCATGGAAAAGATATGTCACAACATCAGTGCACTAAAGGGCAAATCTCTGAAATAAAAACTACAAAATCTCCTCACTGTGTCACACCATGTCCTTCAGAATATGGCAGAAGTCTACTTAAAAAAAAGAAGCACAAATAAATGTGCTTCAGCGGAGAATATATATTCCTTTCTTGTATCCATAAAACATTTACAAGATGTAATCATCTATTTGAAGGAAATAAATTTTCCCAAATTCGATATTTTATGGCCACTTACTCCCCTCCTGGGTCATTAAAAAAGGTTTTTAGCATAGAAGATGCAAAGGGGGTGGTGTGAGTGTTCATTAAGCAGATGGGCAGAGAGGAGAGCACGTGGAGATAGATTCTCCTCCAGTCAGGGAGTCTGCATTTGGAAGGTGCCTCTCAGGCCCCTGAATAACTCATCCCCAGAGACAGGGTTTCCTCATGTTGAATGTGGGAATATTGATAGCACATACCTCACCTCATCTCACATGAGATGTGTGTGAGAACCGAGTGAAGTAACTGACATGGAAGCATTCTCGCAAGTGTAAGATGTGCAAATGCAAGTCATCAGGTTTAGAAAGAAGACTGATGGATCCCCCACCCCATACCCCACACTTCTCCACCCACCAGAGCCCTGAGAAGGACTCAAGTGGATTTTGCTCAGTTGTCTGTTATGTTTCCTCCTATAGGACAGTGGCAAGTCACTGGACCGGGCAAGTTTGTCCAGGCCTTGGTGGGGGAGGACGCCGTGTTCTCCTGCTCCCTCTTTCCTGAGACCAGTGCAGAGGCTATGGAAGTGCGGTTCTTCAGGAATCAGTTCCATGCTGTGGTCCACCTCTACAGAGATGGGGAAGACTGGGAATCTAAGCAGATGCCACAGTATCGAGGGAGAACTGAGTTTGTGAAGGACTCCATTGCAGGGGGGCGTGTCTCTCTAAGGCTAAAAAACATCACTCCCTCGGACATCGGCCTGTATGGGTGCTGGTTCAGTTCCCAGATTTACGATGAGGAGGCCACCTGGGAGCTGCGGGTGGCAGGTCAGTTGTTTATTTATGACTGAGTTGTCTTGTAAAGTCATGCTACCATTATCAGCTCTTAAAAGTATTTCAGATAATGAAATAAAACAGACTTTCCAGATTCTGACATGATGTAAAAAGGCTTCGGTGGGGATCACTGACCTGAGGTTTCTGGAGATGAGCCTGGCCCTGCCATCACACAGGTGGGATCATGATGCAGAAGACAGCCACCTGCACCTGCCACCACCTGACAGGATACAGAGGAAAGCCACTCCCAATGTTGGTGAAATGAGAGTGATAATGCCTGTCATATTTCAATTTCTTTTATTTTCTTCTTTTTTCTTGACTTCTTGTGTGTTACTAAACTTTTTTTAGGATTCCATCACAACTTATTGTTAGTCTTTTTTTAGTATAACATTTTGTAGTGTTTTCTTAGGTGCTGCTTTAGGTGTTATGATATTCATATATAATTTATCACAATCTACTATATCAACATTTTACCACTTTGAAGTGTGGAAACTTCATTTTCATTCAGAGCCCTTCAAACTCCACAATTTAAAAATAACATTGCCTTGAGTATTTCTTCTATATACATAAGCACTATATCAGATAGTGACTTAATTTCTGTTTAAACCATCATATATAATTTTCATTTTTATTTTTTATTTTTTATTTTTCTTTGAGACAGTCTTGTCCCGTCACCCAGGCTGGAGTGCAGTGGTGTGATCTCAGCTCACTGCAACCTCCACCTCCTGGATTCAAGTGACTCTTGTACCTCAGCCTCCTGAGTAGCTCAGATTACAGGCATGCGCCACCACACCCAGCTAATTTTTTTTTGTATTTTTAGTAGAGATGGGGTTCTGCCATGTTGGCCAGCTGGTCTCAAACTCCTGGCCTCAAATGATCCCCTGCCTTGGGCTCCCAAAATGCTGGGATTACAGGTGTGAGCCACCACA
Organism: Homo sapiens; assembly: GCF_000001405.40. NCBI lineage: Eukaryota > Metazoa > Chordata > Mammalia > Primates > Hominidae > Homo > Homo sapiens. The sequence goes on from NC_000005.10 coordinate 180,994,096, forward strand.
CCCAGCACATATGTGATTGTTAAACACTAATAAAATGGAAAATCTATTGTAGTTTTCCTTATTCTTCTTTTTCTATTGCTTTTCTTCTTTCCTAATATTCCAAGATTCTTTCTTTTATCATTTCCTTTCTGTTTGAAGAATTTCCTCCAGCCATCCTTTTAGGATAGGTCTGCTAGTGACAAATTCTCTTAGTTTTTGTTTATCTGAGAATAAATATGCAAAAGATTTCCTCTTTATTTGTGAATAATGGTTTTGCCAGATATAGAATTTCTGAGTTTCTTGATGGTTATTTTCTTTCAGCAGTTGAAAAATGTGCTACTTCTTTCTGGCCTTGAAGATTTCTCACGAAAAATCTGCTGTCATTGGTGTTTTCTTTATTTTCAGAAATTTAATTATGATCTATCAAGGCATGGGTTTCTTTACATTTCTCCTATTTGGTGTGCTCTCAGCTTCTTGAATCTGTAGTTTCATGACTTTCACCTCATTTGATTAGATCAGCCATCATTTCTTTAAATACTCTTTCAGCTCTCTCTCTTTCTCCTCTCCTTCTGGGACTATGATGATATAAATGTTGATATTTTGTTATTGTCTCATAGGTCCTTGAGGATCTGTTTTTCCCTTTAAAAAAATATTTTCCTCTCTTTTCATGCTGGTTAAGTTTCATTGTTGTATCCTGGAGTTCAATAATTTTTTTTTTTTTTTTATGAGATGGAGTCTCGCTCTGTCGCCCAGGCTGGATAGAGTGCAGTGGTGCAATCTCGCTCACTGCAAGCTCTGCCTTCCGGGTTCACGCCATTCTCCTGCCTCAGCCTCCGGAGTAGCTGGAACTACAGGCACCTGCCACCACGCCCGGCTAATTTTTTTTGTATTTTTAGTAGAGACGGGGTTTCACCGTGTTAACCAGGATGGTCTTGATCTCCTGATCTCATGATCCACCCGCCTTGGCCTCCCAAAGTGCTGGGATTACAGGCCTGAGCCACCATGCCAGGCCAATAATTTTATTTTCTGTCATCTCCACTCTAGCATTGAAGCTACCCAGTTAGTTTTTGTTTTTGCATTTTTTTCTGTTATATTACTTCTGATTTGTTTTTTATAACATCTATGGTTTTTGTTTTTTAAATTTTTTGAGAGAATTCATAATTGCTTTTTGAAACATTTTAATAATAGCTATTCATGTTGGTCTTGGCAATCACATGATTGTCTATTTTCATTCAAGTTGATATTTAATTGGTTCTTGGTATGATGGGTAATTTTTAGTTGAAATCTAAATGGTTTAACTATTGTAAGATACTCTAGACCCTATGTAAAGCTTCTGTTTTGCAGGCAGTCACCATGTTTAGATTTATGACTCAGGTCCTAGTCTATTTTTGGTGGTTGTGGCTCCAAATACAATTTAATTTTCAGAGACTTTACTGTGTTATTTTGGTCTACTTTGCTTAACTGATGTCACTGGAGATTCTGCTCATCCTTTCTAGTACTAACTGTGGCAGTAAAAGGTGTTTTCCCATGTTGCTCCTCACTGTTTCTTGTGAGAGAGGTGATCATCTGGCATAGTGGGAAAAAGTACTCTTCCCCTGGTCTCCAGTCAATGGGGCTTATGATCAATTCTTTTGCCAGCACCACTTTGTATATCATGTATTTTCAGCCATTTAGGGGTGGAAAGATTCCCGCTGGGCCACCTACTTCTGCTGGAGGTGGGAGTGGGGGAGTGGTCATAGGATGCTCAGCTGCTGTGTTTTTTTTCTACTCCTGGGGTCCCTAGTCAGTCCTCCTTAGTCTTTCCACTTTTCAAAATGCACCTATGCTTGCCGCATTTCTAGGGTTTATGATTTTACTTAGAGAAAGGAGCAAGGAAGAGAAGTCTACATCATCTTACTTGAGCCCCCTTCCTTGGTGCTTACACCACCATCATTCTTTCATTAATTTATTGACTAACAAACATTTATTAGGCTCCATGCACTGATCCAGACCCTAGGGAATGACAGAGTACAACACTCAGAGAGGAAGTTCTGTTTGGAGTGGTTAAAAGGCAATATTAAATCATAAAATTGAAGTCAACCACATAAGAGGTACTTTTGCATATTTCCCAAGTCACAAATCTGAATGTCACAATAAACCCTTCCTTGATGTTCAGTCCTATTGATTCAACCTCTCAAATAGATTCTGCACCTGCCGTTCCCCTTCTCAGAGCCCTCCTCCTCCCCAGCCCTTCTTTTCTCTCACTGGAGTCACTTCAGTAGTTGCATGGCGGGTCACTCTCCTCCGGAGTGTTCTCTATGGTCCCTCCTCCATGCTGCTGCCTGGAGACCTCTCTAACATACAGGCCTTGCCATAACTCCCACCTGCTGGAAGCTGGTAAGAGCCTTACTGGTCTACAGTTCTTAAAGTGGCTGTGGGCAAGTCCACGTTGCTCAGGTCAGTGAAGGTATGACCTCCACGGCTTGCCTTGTGCCTTTTTCAGATCTTGTCTCACACCCCTACTCTCTTATACATCATCTGGAATATAAATATTCATGAGTCCTTGAAATCACTGTGGCATGTTAACTTTTCACATTGTGGTTTGTACTTGCCTCTTTTTGTCTAAAATGCTTCCCCTCTCCCAGACCTGACCACAACAAAACTCCTATTTTCTGACACAGAAGGGTGCAAATGTCATCTCCAGGAAGCTGTGCCTTTCCCTGACAGTTAAGCACTCTTCTCTGTGCTAACCTGACCATGCTTTCATAGTTGCCATTTCACTATGAAATGTATTTTATACAGTTTCCTCACTATTTGATCAATGAGTTTCTCATTAGAAGGGGCTGTGTCTTATTCACTGCATCCTATTTCATACTTAGGAATATCCAGGCATATATAGTGGCTGCTAAATAAATGTTGAATGAACATAGACCATGGAAGGGCTTGCAGTAGTAGCATGAGTGGATGTGTGTGTAAGAGAGAGAGAGAGAAAAAGATGTGTGTGTAAGAGACAGAGAGAAAAGGATGTGTGTGTGTGAGAGAGAGAGAGAGAGAAAAGGATGTATGTGTGTTATGGGTACAGGCTTGATGAACCAGACTCAAAATGCTGTAAGCTTGAAATTTGGTCTTTGCTTTCATCTTTCCCTGTTTTCTTCCCAGCACTGGGCTCACTTCCTCTCATTTCCATCGTGGGATATGTTGACGGAGGTATCCAGTTACTCTGCCTGTCCTCAGGCTGGTTCCCCCAGCCCACAGCCAAGTGGAAAGGTCCACAAGGACAGGATTTGTCTTCAGACTCCAGAGCAAATGCAGATGGGTACAGCCTGTATGATGTGGAGATCTCCATTATAGTCCAGGAAAATGCTGGGAGCATATTGTGTTCCATCCACCTTGCTGAGCAGAGTCATGAGGTGGAATCCAAGGTATTGATAGGAGGTGAGTGGGGAGAAGGAGGAGCAAGGAATGGGTGTGTGCATACGTAACCCAGGGTAGAGCAGCAGCTTGTGTCTGGGATTGTTGTGTAGTACCATCCAGCTTCAATGATTTGTTTTGAGAGTCAAAGATTGATGAGGTATAAAAAACAAAACCAAACATTTGATAAGGCAGAAGTAGAATAGTTTACAATTTCAAGGCAGTAGAATTAAGTATTTCCTTCACCACACAATACCCCCATGGTGCAACACTCACAACTCAACACGTAACAAAACTTAAGGAAATTAACTCTAGGACTAAGAAAATAATTGTTTCTTCATTTTTAGAAAACGTCGTTGCTCCTTCATGAAGCAGAATAAAACTGTAGAAAATTTCAGAAAGGATTTACAAATAGTAGGAAAATTTACATAAACTAAAATGCTTCCAGAATCACACTCAATTAAAAGGATTGAATTTGCCAGTTAAAAGACAAAGAATCTCAGACTGGATTTAAAAATCTCATCGCTTGAACCCAGGAGGCAGAGGTTGCAGTGAGCCGAGATGGCACCACTGTGCTCCAGCCTGGGTGGCAGAGCAAGACTCCATCTCAAAAATGTAAAAATAAAAATAAAAATAAAAATAGACAAATACTAAAAATCTCAATGGCAATTCATAAGAGGAAAAATGTAGCACATATGAGCTATTCATTGAAAATAAAAAATACTCGAGAAATATTAATCACGAAGAATTGAACAGATATATTAGTGTCAAGAAAAGGAAGACAAAGTTGTAAGAAAAAGGGCATTAGGGATAGAGTTATTTCAAAAACATAAGTTCACTCAGTATAAGAATATGAAAATTTTAAATATATATACATGTACCTTATACATGTAAAACATAGAAAATATCAACAGAAATAAGAAAAAAGGTCATACTTCGAGTTCTAAAATTGATTAAATAAGTAGACAAAATGAGTAAGAATATATACTATTTGAACTAAAAATTAATAAGTCTGAAATAACGTATTTTTGGAGATGGCACTCCAGGTTTGTAGAATATACATTAATTTTTACCACACTTGGAACTTTTATAAAATTTTACCAGATATAAACACATACAATGGTTTTAAGAAAATTTTCAGACATAGATATCATGCACATGAAATTCTCTAATCATAATTTAATAAAGTCAAATGACCACAGCAAAAGATAGTTTAAATTCTTATGTGTTTGAAAAATTTTTAAACATTAAAATAACTGAGAAATTGAAGAAAGCATAGTGATAGGTAGAAAATTCTTAAAACTGAATGATAATAAAATTACAATCTATCATAATGTGTAAAATAGAACTAATATAGTTTTCTGAGTCAAAATTTTATCTGGCCGGGCGCAGTGGCTCACGCCTGTAATCCCAGCACTTTGGAAGGCCAAGACAGGCGGATCACCTGAGGTCAGGAGTTCAAGACCAGCCTGGCCATAATGGTGAAACCCCGTCTCTACTAAAAATACAAAAATTAGCCGGGTGTGGTGGCGGGTGCCTGTAATCCCAGCTACCTGGGAAGCTGAGGCAGGAGAATTGCTTGAACCCGGGAGGCGGAGGTTGCGGTGAGCCGAGATCATGCCACTGCACTCCAGCCTGGGCGATAGAGCAAGACTCCATCTCAAAAATATATATATATATATCCTTTAATGCTTAAATGTTCTTATTAGCATGAAATAGCTGAATATTGATATTAGGCATCAATATATATTTCAGAAAACAGCAAAAGAAAGTGGAAGAAATCCTAAAGATATAGAAATATGGAAATATAAAGACAAATAGTGCACATTAATACATCTAAAGTTAGACGGTTCGAAGTGTTATTAAAATAGATAAACTGGCAACATCAGTTAAGAATAAAAGAGAAACAGCACAATTAAACAAGGCAGGAAATAACAAGAAGGCACAACTAAAGATTTAGTAGAGATTTGTAAGATAAACTGCTTTGAATAACTTTTTCCTTTTCTATTGAATATGATGAAGTGAAAGTTTTCATAGAAAAATGTAAAATACAGGACAGGCGCAGTGGCTCATGCCTGTAGTCCCAGCAGTGTGGAAGGCTGAGGCGGGCAGATCGCTTGAGGTCAGGAGTTTGAGACCAGCCTGCCCAACATGGCGAAACCCCATCTCTACTAAAAATACAAAAATTAGCTGGGCGTGGTGGTGTGTGTCTGTAATCCCAGCTACTCTGGAGGCTGAGGCTGGAGAATCACTTAAATCCAGGAGACAGAGATTGCAGTGAGCTGAGATCGCCCCACTGTACTCCAGCCTGGGGGACAGAGTGAGACTTTGTCTCAAAAATTTTTAAAAAAGAAGAAAAACGTAAAATACAAAATCCGAAGGAAAGATAGACTACCTGACTAATTTGTAACCATGAAAGAGGTGGACTCAGCATTTAAAAGTCTTCCCACAAGGAAGACACAAGGCCCACATTGTTTTATATACAAAGTCTACCAAATATTCAAGAAAAGAGAAAATGTATCTTTCAGAAAGTCGGCCAGAGAGCAGAAAAATAGGAAATATTAAACTCATTTTATTGAGTCAACATAATTTTGGTATCATAAGAGAAATGGGCAATTCAAAAAAGGAAAAATTTTTACCAACATTACTCATAATTGAAAATGTAAAAATCTTACCAAAAATTTTGCAAGTAGAAAAGTCCACAAAAACATATATCATGACCAAACTTATCCTGGAAAAAAATGTTAGGTCAACATGGGAACATATATTAATGTAATTATAACATAATTCGTTAAAAGAGATAAACTATAATTTTCTTAGTAGATGTAAATAAAACAGATAACTTTCTACATCTATTCATCATGATTTCAACACTTGCAAATCTAGAAATAGAAGAAAATTTTTTTTATCAATCTAGAAATAGGAGAGACTCTGCTTAATCTGATAAAAAGATATCTAAAGATACTTGCAGCAAACATCATACAAAATAATAAGCCACCTAATTTTTTAAATACATACCGAAAACATTATACATAATGTGTCATTTAAAATCATAACATAGGCCGGGCGCGGTGGCTCACGCCTGTAATCCCAGCACTTTGGGAGGCCGAGGCAGGTGGATCATGAGGTCAGGAGATCGAGACCATCCTGGCTAACAAGGTGAAACCCCGTCTCTACTAAAAATACAAAAAATTAGCCGGGCGCGGTGGCGGGCGCCTGTAGTCCCAGCTACTCGGGAGGCTGAGGCAGGAGAATGGCGTGAACCCGGGAAGCGGAGCTTGCAGTGAGCCGAGATTGCGCCACTGCAGTCCGCAGTCCGGCCTGGGCGACAGAGCGAGACTCCGTCTCAAAAAAAAATAAAATAAAATAAAAAAATAAAATAAAATAAAATAAAATCATAACATAAGGAGATTGCATTAAACACTTCTGTTCCACATTATATTAGAGTACTGTTACTATTAGCAGCCACTTCAATAAGGGAAGAAAATGTAAAAGTTATAACTTTTAGAAAGAAAAAAATTAAATGGCCATTGTTCACAGTTTATATGATGATATAAACGGAAAATTTAGAAAAATTTACAGACAAATTCTTTCAACTCATAAAGGAATCCATCGTGTTCATGAAAAATGAGAGGAATAAACAAAATCTAATAAAATGTTTACAAAATCTTATTGAAGGGTATTATAAAACTGTATTAAAAGACACTAATGAAAACTAAAATAAGAGAACAAACATAACACCTTTCAGATAAGAAGATGCATGTTTTTAAAGATACCAGTTCTCCTAGAATTGCTGTACAGATTCAATACAATTCCATAGAAAAATCTCAGCACATTTTTTGGTTTGTTTGTTTTTTGAGATGAGCTGTCACTCTGTCACCCATGCTGGAGTATAGTGGTGCAATCATGGCTCATTGCAACCTCAATTTCCCATGCTCAAGCAATCCTCCCACCTCAGCCTCCCAAGTAGCTGGGACCACAGGTGTGCACCACCATGCCTGGCTAATTTTTTTTAATTTTAAATATTTTTATAGATGGGGGGGGGTCTCACTTTGTTGCCTAGACTGGTCTCGAACTCCTGTCCTTAAGAAATCCTCCCGGCCAGGCGCGGTGGCTCATGCCTGTAATCCCAGCACTTTGGGAGGCCGAGACGGGAGGATCACGAGGTTAGGAGATCGAGACCATCCTGGCTAACATGGTGAAACCCCATCTCTACTAAAAATACAAAAAATTAGCTAGGCGTGGTGGCGGGCGCCTGTAGTCCCAGCCACTCAGGAGGCTGAGGAAGGAGAATGGCGTGAACCCGGGAGGCAGAGGTTGCAGTGAGCCGAGATCGCGCCACTGCACTCCTCCCTGGGCAACAGAGCGAGACTCTGTCTCAACAAAACAAAACAAAACAAAACAAAACAAAGAAATCTAAAGGAGAAAAGAATAAACATTACCTTTAAAAAAAAAAAGAAATCCTCCCACTTTGGCCTCCCAAACTGCTGGGTTTATAGGCATGAGCCACTGCACCTGGCCCAGAGTTTTCTTAAAGCCTAACAAGTCAATTCCAAAGTTTATGTGGCAAAACAAATAGCCAAGAATTGCTAAGATACAGTGGAATAAGAGCAAGCTAAGAAGCTTAGTCTTATCTCAGAGACATATCCCAAAGCTTTGAAGATTAAGCCAATTAAAATTATTGGCACAGAGATAACCCTATGGATCAATGAGAGAGAACAAAGAGCCCAGAAACAAATCCAAGCTTGAACATGAGGTACACAGAGGTGACCTTGCATGTGTGGCAGTGTGTAAAGCAAGGTCCACTCAACAAACATTGCCAGCACAGTCAACACCTGCTTAGAAGAAGATGACATTGAACTTCTGCCTCATTAGACATAGACACACACACACACACACACACGTGTGTGTGTATATATATATATATATATATATATATGAAATCCAGATGGATCAAGACTTATAAAGAAATGCAAAGCTTTAACGCGCACACACACACACACGTGAATATATATATATATATATATATATATATATATATGAAATCCGGATGGATCAAGATGTTTATAGAAATGCAAAGCTTTAAATCTGTGGAAGAAATGAGAGAAAAATGTTTTCATCTTGGGGTACTGGGGGATTCCTTAAATGGGCGTAAAATTGTCTTACCTGCTTAGCTATCACTAAGGGTCTGTGGGACTGTTTTTCAGAGACGTTTTTCCAGCCCTCACCTTGGCGCCTGGCTTCTATTTTACTCGGGTTACTCTGTGGTGCCCTGTGTGGTGTTGTCATGGGGATGATAATTGTTTTCTTCAAATCCAAAGGTAAGTGAGAGAGAGAAGCATGGGCCCATACCTTCTTCATGGTTCCAGTGGAGCTGATATCAGGCTGCCCTCACACACCTCTGGGCTCTGCTCTTCCAGCCCTAGGCCTACAGGGGCCACCAGCTGAGGCACAGGGAACCCAGTCTTCAGCCTCCTCTGTGCTGGCCTGAAATGGCTCCTTCAGAAAATGCCAGCCTCTGCCAATCCCTTTCTACTTTACATGGAGCACAGGATAAGCAGATAATTGATTTTCAGTACATAAAGAGTTCACATAAATTTCTACCAACAGGCTGAGTGCCGTGGCTCGTGTCTGTAATCCCAGCACTTTGGGAGGCCGATGTGGGAGGATCACTTGAGCCCAGGAGTGTAAGACCATCCTGGGCAACATGGCGAGAACTCCTCTCTACAAAAAATTTTTAAAAAATAAAATAAAATAATTAGCTGGGTGTGGTGGTGCGTGACTGTGGTCCCAGCTACTTAGGAGGTTGAGATGGGAGGATGGCTTGAGCACAGGAGGTCAAGGCTTTAGTGAGCCATGTTCGCACCACTGCACATCAGCCTGGGCAACAGAGTGAGACCCTGACTCAATAAATAAATATATAAAAATAAATAAATTTCTACTAACGACAACAAGAGACAATAAGAAAATTTCAGGGTGGTTGCAAAGACTTCATAGAAGAGGAAATAAAACTGACTGACTGAGATAAAATGATAATCTCAGTAAGAGTCTTCACCCTAGAACAAATTTCCTCCTCCTTGGGAGTGACACTTCCCCTTGGGGGTGAGGCCACCCCCGCCTCCCCTCCCAGCCGCCTTCTCCCATCTCCATCCCCACCTCCACAGCATCCCAGCTGTTGTCCCTCTCCTTAGCATGCACCTTCCTGATCTCTTGCTCCACCCCAGAGAGCCACACTCCGTGCAGGGGCTGGGGAGACGAGCACATATAAGTGTCCTAGGAGAGGCCCTGCCCTTCACACCTGCAGCTCGTCCCACCTGTGCAAGGAGCCAGCGTCGTGTTTGTACCTTGCACACTCCTGTGTCCACCACTGAATATACTGTTTCTGTTTCAGGGAAAATCCAGGCGGAACTGGGTATGTGTCATGTCCTGAGCCTCCCACACATGGTTCTCCCGGGTCCCTCCCTGATCCACAGTTTGAGCCTCTGGACGACCCTGGCTGCAGGCTGGACAGGAAGCACCGGCAGGTGGAGGGGAGCAGCTGCTCACTCTCTCCATCCACTGCTCATGAGTTACCCCTCGGACATCTGGAGGGCTTAGGATAGGCCCCGGGGCCTGGAAGTCCCCACAAATTGTCTGTGCCTGTTGCCCGTTGGTTTGCTGTGTGTGTGGTGGGGGGAGGTGTTGATCATGAGCTCTGAGGGTGTCTGGGCCACAGTGAGGAACCTGAGAAAAATTTGTGGGTGATCCTCGACCTCCCCTGGCCTGATGCTTTGAGACTTTATCCAGTTCTGTATCAACCACTAAATAGTCTGCTTTTTGTTTTGTGGGAACTCCAGGATAAACTGGGTGAGAGTGTTACCACTCGCAGGGATTCCCTCCCACGCCCTCCCTGGGCCCCCGCTCTGTGACGTCAGCCTCTTACATGTTTTTTGTTTTTGTTTTTGTTTTTCAGACTGGAGAAGAAAGCACGGACAGGCAGGTAAAAGAAAATATTCCTCTTCACACATTTATGACTCCTTTCCAAGTCTCTCGTTTATGGATTTTTATATCCTGAGGCCCGTGGGTCCCTGCAGAGCCAAGCTTGTGATGGGAACTCTGAAATTGCAGATTCTGGGGGAGGTGCATTTTGTAGAGAAGCCCCATAGCCTTCTTCAGATCTCTGGAGGGTCCACAACACTCAAAAAGGGTCCCAATCCTTGGTCTTTCCCTTCTCCCTGCGCCCTGTTTCCCACGTGAGCACGGAACTGCCTGCTCTCTCTGCTTGCTTTCAGAATTGAGAGACGCCCGGAAACACGCAGGTACCAACGCCTGAGAGGGTAACAGTGGGCATGGAGTAGGAAGATGACCAGTGACAGATATGGAGCCCATCCAGCTTGTAGACAGCAAATCTGTGATGCCCGAATCCACCCCAGGGTGCAGCTGCCTCTAAATACACTTCTTGGCCCAGGACTTGGAGGGAAAAGCGTAGGGACTGGGTCAGCTAGGAGGGGTCACAGGCAAGACGCCAGGGAACTGAGGGCATTAGTAGCTGGCTTCTAGGGGTCTGTGCAAAGGGGAACTAAGTGAAGTTAGCAGGAACTGGTGGGTGGAAGGAAGCTGAATCCTGGAGTCACTCAAGGTCTCACAAAGTCAAATAGAGGGCTTACGTGGGAGGGCAGTGGTAGGGCTGGGTGAACATCTCATGGTTGAGCATCTCCAAGCATCAGTGAGGCACGGGGGCTGCCCTGGAGAAGGTACATGGCTGGTGGGATAGTGGGACTGGCCGGATCCTACCCGGAGCCAGTCTGCAGTGGGAGGGTCGACCTCTTGCTCCAGCCCAGATTTCGTCTTCAGTAACTCATGCTTCCTCTCTCCCCCACCGCACCCCAGTGGAGGTGACTCTGGATCCAGAGACGGCTCACCCGAAGCTCTGCGTTTCTGATCTGAAAACTGTAACCCATAGAAAAGCTCCCCAGGAGGTGCCTCACTCTGAGAAGAGATTTACAAGGAAGAGTGTGGTGGCTTCTCAGGGTTTCCAAGCAGGGAAACATTACTGGGAGGTGGACGTGGGACAAAATGTAGGGTGGTATGTGGGAGTGTGTCGGGATGACGTAGACAGGGGGAAGAACAATGTGACTTTGTCTCCCAACAATGGGTATTGGGTCCTCAGACTGACAACAGAACATTTGTATTTCACATTCAATCCCCATTTTATCAGCCTCCCCCCCAGCACCCCTCCTACACGAGTAGGGGTCTTCCTGGACTATGAGGGTGGGACCATCTCCTTCTTCAATACAAATGACCAGTCCCTTATTTATACCCTGCTGACATGTCAGTTTGAAGGCTTGTTGAGACCCTATATCCAGCATGCGATGTATGACGAGGAAAAGGGGACTCCCATATTCATATGTCCAGTGTCCTGGGGATGAGACAGAGAAGACCCTGCTTAAAGGGCCCCACACCACAGACCCAGACACAGCCAAGGGAGAGTGCTCCCGACAGGTGGCCCCAGCTTCCTCTCCGGAGCCTGCGCACAGAGAGTCACGCCCCCCACTCTCCTTTAGGGAGCTGAGGTTCTTCTGCCCTGAGCCCTGCAGCAGCGGCAGTCACAGCTTCCAGATGAGGGGGGATTGGCCTGACCCTGTGGGAGTCAGAAGCCATGGCTGCCCTGAAGTGGGGACGGAATAGACTCACATTAGGTTTAGTTTGTGAAAACTCCATCCAGCTAAGCGATCTTGAACAAGTCACAACCTCCCAGGCTCCTCATTTGCTAGTCACGGACAGTGATTCCTGCCTCACAGGTGAAGATTAAAGAGACAACGAATGTGAATCATGCTTGCAGGTTTGAGGGCACAGTGTTTGCTAATGATGTGTTTTTATATTATACATTTTCCCACCATAAACTCTGTTTGCTTATTCCACATTAATTTACTTTTCTCTATACCAAATCACCCATGGAATAGTTATTGAACACCTGCTTTGTGAGGCTCAAAGAATAAAGAGGAGGTAGGATTTTTCACTGATTCTATAAGCCCAGCATTACCTGATACCAAAACCAGGCAAAGAAAACAGAAGAAGAGGAAGGAAAACTACAGGTCCATATCCCTCATTAACACAGACACAAAAATTCTAAATAAAATTTTAACAAATTAAACTAAACAATATATTTAAAGATGATATATAACTACTCAGTGTGGTTTGTCCCACAAATGCAGAGTTGGTTTAATATTTAAATATCAACCAGTGTAATTCAGCACATTAATAAAGTAAAAAAGAAAACCATATGATCATTTCAACGATGCAGAAAAAAAGTTTCATAAAGCCACCATCATTACTGATAAAACCTGTCAACAAGGAAGATACATAGATGAAAAATAAGCACAGGAAGAGATACTTAATGTCATTAAACACTAAGAAAATGCAAACTAAAACCACAGCAAGATACCATTACCATCTATTAAAGTGGCTAAAATTACAAAGACTGACAATAGCAAGTGTTGGTGAGGATGTGGAGGGAAGGAATTCTCATACACTGCTCATGGGACTGTCAAATAATATGGTCACTTTGGAAAACAGTTCAGTAGTTCCTTTAAAAGTTCAACAGTCACTAACCATATGATCCAGCATGGCCTTCTAATTATTTTTCCAAGAGAAAAGGAAATCTGTGAATGTTCATAGCAGCTTTATTTGTAATAGCCAAAATTTGAAAACAACACAAAGCTCACCAATTGATAACAAATTATGATATATCCATGCAAATAAAGTGCTACTCGGAAATAAAAAAGAATATTGTTATACACACAAAATCATTAAATCTCACAGAAATTATTACAAGTAGTGCTTGCTTTGGCAGCACGTTTAGTAAAATTGGAATGATACAGAGATTAGCGTGGCCCCTGCACAAGGAGGACATGCAAATTCATGAAGTGTTCCATATTTTAAATTTAATTTTATGATAAAGAAAAACATTGGAGGGCTGGGCGTGGTGGCTCACGCCTGTAATCCCAGCACTTTGGGAGGCCGAGGTGGGTGGATCACAAGGTCAGGAGACTGAGACCATCCTGGCTAACATGATGAAACCCCGTCTCTACTAAAAATACAAAAAATTAGCTGGGCATGGTGGTGGACACCTGTAGTCCCAGCTACTCGGGAGGCTGAGGCAGGAGAATGGCGTGAACCCAGGGGGCGGAGCTTGCAGTGAGCCGAGATGGCGCCACTGCACTCCAACCTGGGCAACAGAGCGAGACTCCGTCTCAAAAAAAAAAAAAAAAGAAAAGAAAAGAAAAGAAAAACATGGGAAGGATCTGGCAAGATGTCTGAATAGGAACGCTCTGGCCTGCCAGCGAGACCAATGCAGAAGGCAGGGGATTTCTGCATTTCCAACTGAGGTACCCTGTTCATCTCATTGGGACTGGTTAGGCAGTGGGTGCAGCCCATGGAAGGCAGGCAGAAGCAGGGCGGGGTGTTGCCTCAACCCAGGAAGTGCAAGGAGTGGGGGGCCTCCCTCCACCAGCCAAGGGAAGCTGTGAGGGACTGTGCTATCTGGCCCAGACACTACGCGTTTCCCACGGTTTTTGCAATCCACAGAACAGGAGAGTCCCTCATGTGACTACACCACCAGGGCCCTGGGTTTCAAGCACAAAACTGGGTGGCTGTTTGGGCAGACACTGAGCCAGCTGCAGGAGTGTTTTTTTATACCCTAGTGGCGCCTGGAACCACAGCAAGACAGAACTGTTCACCCCCTGGAAAGGGGGCTGAAGCTAGGGAGCCAAGTGGGCTCACTCAGCGGGTCCCACTCCCACGGAGCCCAGCAAGCTAAGAGCCACTGGCTTGAAATTCCTGCTGCCAGCACAGTAGTCTGGAGCTGACCTGGAGCTTGGTTGGGGGAGGGGCATCTGTCATTACTGGGGCTTGAATAGGTGGTTTTCCCCTGACAGTGCTAAGGAGGCCTGGAAGTTCGGACTGGGCGGAACTCAACACAGCACGGCAAAGAGGCTGTGGCCAGACTGCCTCTCTAGATTCCTCCTCACTGGGCAGGGCATCTCTGAAAGAAAGGCAGCAGTCCCAGTCAGGGGCTTATAGATAAAAGTCCCAACTCCCTTGGACAGAGCACCTGGGGGAAGGGGCGGCTGTGGGTGCAGCTTCAGTGGACTTAAACGTTCCTGCCTGCTGGCTCTGCAGAGAGCAGCAGATGCTGACAAGGAGGGCTCTCCCAGCACAGCACTCGAGCTCTGCTAAGGGACAGACTGCCTCCTCAAGTGGGTCCCTGACCCCTGTGTCACCTGACGGGGAGAGACCTCCCAACAGGGGTTGACAGACACCTCATACAGGAGAGCTCTGGTTGGCATCAGGCTGGTGCCCCTCTAAGATGAAGCTTCCAGAGGAAGGAGCAGGCAGCAATCTTTGCTGTTCTGCAGCCTCCACTGGTTATACCCAGGCAAATAGGGTCTGGAGTGGACCTCCAGCAAACTGCAGCAGACCTGCAGAAAAGGGGTCTGACTGTTAGAAGAAAAACTAACAAACAGAAAGCAGTAACATCAACATCAACAAAAGGATCCCCACACAAAAACCCCAACCACAGGTCATCAGCCTCAAAGATCAAAGGTAGATAAATCCACAAAGATGAGGAAAAACCAGCTTAAAAATGCTGGAAATTTCAAAAATCAGAATGCCTCTTCCCCAAATGATCATAACTCCTGTCTAGTAAGGGCACAAAACTGGACAGAAAATGAGTTTGAAAGAATTGCCAAATTGACAGAAGTAGGCTTCAGCATATGGGTAATAACAAACTCCTCTGAGGTAAGGGAGCATGTTCTAGCCAAATGCAAGGAAGCTAAGAACGTTGACAAGGTTATAGGAATGGCTAACTAGGATAACCAGTTTAGAGGAGAACATAAATGACCTCATGGAGCTGAAAAAGACAGCACGAGAACTTCGTGAAGCATACACAAGTATCAATAGCCGAATCGATCAAGAGGAAGAAAGGATGTGAGAGACTGAAGAACAACTTACTGAAATAGGGCATGAAGACAAGATTAGAGAAAAAGAATGAAAAGGAACAAACAAAGCCTCCAAGAAATATGGGAGTATGTGAAAAGACCAAACCTATGATTGATCAGGGTCCCTGAAAGTGATGGGGAGAATGGAACCAAGTTGGAAAACACACTTCAGAATATTACCCAGGAGAACTTCCCCAACCTAGCAAGACAGGCCAACATTCAAATTCAGGAAATACAGAGAATGCCACAAAGATACTCCTCGAGAAGAGCAACCCCAAGACACATAATCGTCAGATTCACCAAGGTTGAAATGAAGGAAAAAATGTTAAGGTCAGCCAGAGAGAAGGGTCAGGTTACCTACAAAGGGAAGCCCATCAGATGAACAGTGGATCTCTCTGCAGAAACCCTAGAAGCCAGAAGAGAGTGAGGGCCAATATTCAACATTCTTAAAAAAATTTTCAACCCAGAATTCCATATCCAGCCAAACTAAGCTTCATAAATGAGGGAGAAATATAGTCCTTTACAGACAAGCAAATGCTGAGGGATTTTGTCACCACCAATCCTGCCCTACAAGAGCTCCTGAAGGAAGCACTAAATATGGAAAGGAACAACTGGTACCAGCCACCACAAAAACACACCAGAATATAAAGACCAATGACACTATGAAAAAACTGCATAAAGGAATGTGCAAAATAACCAGCAAGCGTCATGATGACCGGATCAAATTTACACATAACAATATTAACCTTAAATGTAAATGGGCTAACTGCCCCAATTAAAAGACACAGACTGGCAAATTGGATAAAGAGTCAAGACCCATCGGTGTGCTGCATTCAGGAGACCCATCTCATATGCAAAGACACACATCGGCTCAAAATAAAGGGATGGAGGAATATTTACCAAGCAAATGGAAAGCAAAAAGAGCAGGGGCTGCAATCCTAGTCTCTGATAAAACAGACTTTAAAGCAACAAAGACAAAGGAGGGCATTAAATAATGGTAAAGGGATCAATGCAATAAGAAGAGCTAACTATCCTAAATATATATGCACCTAATACAGGAGCACTCAGATTCATAAAAGAAGTTCTTAGAGACATACAAAGAGACTTAGGCTCCCACGCAATAATAGTGGGAGAGTTTAACACCCCACTGTCAATATTAGATCAACGAGACAGAAAATTAATAAGGATATTCAGGACTTGAACTCAGCTCTGGACCAAACAGACCTAACAGACATCTACAGAACTCTCCACCCCAAATCAGCAGAATATACATTCTTCTAAGAACCACATAGCACTTATTCTAAAATCGGTCACATAATTGGAAGTAAAACACTCCTCAGCAAATGCAAAAGAACGGAAATCATAACAGTCTCTCAGACCACAGTGCAGTCAAATTAGAACCCAGGATTAAGAAACTCACTCAAAACCACACAATTACATGGAAACTGAACAAGCTGCTCCTGAATGACTACTGGATGAATGACAAAATTAAGGCAGAAATAAAAAAGTTATTTGAAACCAATGAGAACAAAGACGCAACATACCAAAATCTCTGGGACACAGCTAAAGCAGTATTAAGAGAAAAATTTATAGCACTAAATGCCTACAGCAGAAAGTGGAAAAGATGTAAAATTGACACTCTAACATCACAATTAAAAGAACTAGAGAAGCAAGAGCAAACAAATTGAAAAGCTAGCAGAAGACAAGAAATAATTAATATCAGAGCAGAAGTGAAGGAGATAGAGACACAAAAAACCCTTCAAAAAAATCAATGAATCCAGGAGTTGGTTTTGTGAAAAGATTAACAAAATAGACCACTAGCTAGACTAATATAGAGGAAAAGAGAGAAGAATCAAATAGACACAATAAAAAATGATAAAGGGGATATCACCACTGATCCCACAGAAATACAAACTACCATCCGAGAATACTATAAACACCTCTATGCAAATAAACTAGAAAATCTAGAAGAAATGGATAAATTTCTGGACACATACACCCTCCCAACACTAAACCAGGAAGAAATCGAATCCCTCAATAGACCAGTAACAAGTTCTGAAATTCAGGCAGTAATTAATAGCCTACTAACAACAACAAAAAGCCCAGGACCAGACAGATTCACAGACCAATTCTACCAGAGGTACAAAGAGGAGCTGGTACTATTCCTTCTGAAACTATTCCAAACAATAGAAAAAGAGGGACTCCTCCCTAACTCATTTTATGAGGCCAGCATCATCCTGATTCCAAAACCTGGCAAAGACACAATAAAAAAGGAAAATTTCAGGTCAATATGCCTAATGAACATCTATGCGAAAATCCTCAACAAAAATGGGCAAATAGAATCCAGCAGCACATCAAAAAGCTTATCCACCATGATCAGGTGGGCTTCATCTCTGGAATGAAAGCCTGGTTCAACATATGCAAATCAATAAACATAATCAATACATAAAGAGAACAAATGACAAAAACTACATGATTAGCTCAACAGATGCAGAAAAGGCCTTCAATAAAATTCAACGCCCCTTCATGCTAAAAATTCTTAATAAACTAGGTATCGATGGAAGGTATCCCAAAATAATAACAGCTATTTATGACAAACCCACAGCCAGAATCATACTGAATGGGCAAAAACTGGAAGCATTCCCTTTGAAAACTGGCACAAGACAAGGATGCCCTCTCTCACCACTCCTATTCAACACAGTAATGGAAGTTCTGGCCTGGGCAATCAGGCAAGAGAAAGAAATAAAGGGTATTCAGATAGGAAGGCAGGAAATCAAATTGTCTCTGTTTGCAGATGACATTATTGTATATTTAGAAAACCCCATCGTCTCAGCCCAAAATCTCCTTAAGCTGATAAGCAACTTCAGCGAAATCTCAGGATACAAAATCAATATGCAAAAATCACCAGCATTCCAAATCAATAAATGTAATCCATCACATAAACAGAACCTATAACAAATCCACATGATTATCTGAATAGATGCAGAAAAGGCCTTTGACAAAATTCAACACCCTTCATGCTAAAAACTCTCAATAAACTTGGTATCAATGGAATGTATCTCAAAACAGTAACAGCTATTTATGACAAACCCACAGCCAATATCATACTGAATGGGCAAAAACTGAAAGCATTCCCTTTGAAAACCAGCACAAGACAAGGATGCCCTCTCTTACCACTCCTATTCAACATAGTATTGGAAGTTCTGGTCAGGGCAATCAGGCAAGAGAAAGAAATAAAAGGTATTCAAATAGGAAAAGAGGAAGTCAAATAGTCTCTATTTGCAGATGACATGACTGTATATTTAGAAAACCCCATCATCTCAGCCCCAAATCTCCTTAAGCTGATAAGCAAGTTCAGCAAACTTTCAGGATACAGAATCAATGTGCAAAAATCACAAGCATTCCTGTACACAAATAACAGACAAACAGAGAGCCAAATCATGAGTGAACTCCCATTCACAATTGCTACAAAGAGAATAAAATACCTAGGAATCCAACTTACAAGGGATGTGAAGGACCTCTTCAAGGACAACTACAAACCATTGCTCAAGGAAATAAGAGAGGACACAAATGGAAAAGCAATCCATGCTCATGGATAGGAACAATATTGTGAAAATGGCCATACTGCTCAAAGTAATTTATAGATTCAATGCTATCCCCATCAAGCTACCACTGACTTTCTTTACAGAATTGGAAAGAACTACTTTAACTCCATATGGAACCAAAAAAGAGCCCGCATAGCCAAGACAATCCTGGGCAAGAAGAACAAAGCTGGAGGCATCATGCTACCTGACTTCAAACAATACTACAAGGCTAGCTACAGTAACAAAAACAGCATGGTACCGGTACCAAAACAGATACTTAGGCCAATGGAACAGAACAGAGAGGCCTCAGAAATAACATCACACATCTACAACCAACTGATCTTTGACAAACCTGACACAAACAAGCAATGGGGAAAATATTCCCTGTTTAATAAATGGTGCTGGGAAAACTGGCTAGCCATATGCAGAAGCCTGAAACTGGACCCCTTCCTCACACCTTATACAAAAATTAACTCAAGATGGATCAAAGACTTAAACGTAAGACCTAGGTCCATAAAAATCCTAGAAGAAAACCTGGGCAATACCATTCAGGATGTAGGCATGGGCAAAGACTTTATCTCTAAAGCACCAAAAGCAATGGCAACAAAAACCGAAATTAGAATTTCTCTGATGACTAGTGATGATGAGCATTTTTTCGTGTGTCCGTTGGCTGCATAAATGTCTTCTTTTGAGAAGTGTCTGTTCATATCCTTTGCCCACTTTTTGATGGGGTTGTTTGTTTTCTTCTTGTAAATTTGTTTAAGTTCTTTGTAGATTCTGGATATCAGCCCTTTGTCAGATGGATAGATTGCAAAAATTTTTTCCCATTCTGTAGGTTGCCTGATCACTCTGATGGTAGTTTCTCTTGCTGTGCAGAAGCTCTTTAGTTTAATTAGATCCCATATGTCAATTTTGGCTTTTGTTGCCCTTGCTTTTGGTGTTTTAGTCATCAAGTCTTTGCCCATGCCTATGTCCTGAATGATATTGCCTAGGTTTTCTTCTAGGGATTTTATGGTTTTAGGTCTAAAATTTAAGTCTTTAATCCATCATGAACTAATTTTTGTATAAGGTGTAAGGAAGGGATCCAGTTTCAACTTTCTACATATGGCTAGCCAGTTTTCCCAACACCATTTATTAAATAGGGAATCCTTTTCCCACTGCTTGTTTGTGTCAGGTCTGTCAAAGATCAGATGGTTGTAGATGTGAGGTGTTATTTCTGAGGCCTCTGTTCCATTCCATTGGTCTATATATCTGTTTTGGTACCAGTACCATACTGTAGCCTTGTAGTATAGTTTGAAGTCAGGTAGAGTGATGCCTCCAGCTTTGTTCATTTTGCTTAGGATTGTCTTGGCTATGCAGGCTCTTTCTTTGGTTCCATATGAACTTTAAAGTAGTTTTTTCCAATTCTGTGAAGAAAGTCATTGGATACCATCTCAGGCTGGTTAGAATGGTGATCATTAAAAATCAGGCAACAACAGATGCTAAAGAGGATGTGGAGAAATAGGAATGCTTTTACACTGTTGGTGGGAGTGTAAATTTGTTCAACCATTGTGGAACACAGTGTGGTGATTCCTCAAGGATCTAGAACTAGAAATACCATTTGACTCAGCGATCCCATTACTGGGTATATACCCAAAGAATTATAAATCATGCTAGTATAAAGACACATGCACATGTATGTTTATTGTGGCACTATTCACAATAGCAAAGACTTGGAACCCACCCAAATGTCCATCAATGACAGGCTGGATTAAGAAAATGTGGCACATATACACCATGGAATACTATGCAGCCATAAAAAAGGATGAGTTCATGTCCTTTGCAGGGACATGGATGAAGCTGGAAACCACCATTCTCAGCAAACTATCACAAGGATGGAAAATCAAACACCACATATTCTCACTCATAGGTGGGAACTGAACAATGAGAACACTTGGACACAGGGTGGGGAACATCACACACTGGGGCCTGTCAGGGGTTAGGGAGCTGGGGGAGGGATAGCATTAGGAGAAATACCTAATGTAAATGATGAGTTGTTGGGTGCAGCAAACCACCATGGCACATGTATACATATGTAACAAACCTGCACATTGTGCACATGTACCGTAGAACTTAAAATATAATTTAAAAAACAAAAAAACAAAATTGACAAATGGGATCTAATTAAACTAAAGAGCTTCTGCATAGCAAAAGAAACTATCATCAGAGTTAACAGGCAACCTACAGAATGGGAGAAAAATTTTGCAATCTATCCATCTGACAAAGGGCAAATATCCAGAATCTACAAAGAACTTAAACAAATTTACAAGAAAAAACAAACAACCCCATCAAAAAGTGGGCAAAGTATATGAACAGAAACTTCTGAAAAGAAGACTTTAATGCAGCCAACAGACATATGAAAAAATTCTCATCATCGCTGGTCATTTAGAGAAATGCAAATCAAAAACAACAATGAGATACTATCTCAGGCCAGTTAGAATGGCAATCATTAAAAAGTCAGGAAACAACAGACGCTGGATAGGATGTGGAGAAATAGAAACATTTTTACATTGTTGGTGGGAGTATAAATTAGTTCAACCATTGTGGAAGACAGTGTGGTGATTCCTCAAGGATCTAGAGCTAGAAATACCATTTGACCCAGCAATCCCATTACTGGGTATATACCCAAAGAATTATAAATCATTCTACTATAAAGACACATGCACATGTATGTTTATTGCAGCACAATTCACAATAGCAAAGACATGGAACCAACCCAAATATCCATCAATAATAGACTGGATAAAGAAAATGTGCCACGTATACACCATGGAATACTATGCAGCCATAAAAAAAGGATGAGTTCATGTCCTTTGCAGGGACCGGATGAAGCTGGAAACCACCATTCTCAGCACACTATCAGAAGAACAGAAAACCAAACACTGCATTTTCTCACTCGTAAGTGGGAGTTGAACAATGAGAACACAAGGACATAGGGAGGGGAGCATCACATACCAGGGCCTGTCAGGAGGTGGGGGGCTAGGGGAGGGATGACATTAGGAGTGATACTTAATGAAGGTGATGGGTTGATAGGTGCAGCAAACCACCATGGCATGTGTATACCTATGTAACAAAACTGCGCATTCTGCCCATGTAGCCCAGAACTTAAAGTATAATAATAAAAAAAAATCACCAGCATTCCTATACACAAAAAATAAACAAGCAGAAAACCAAATCATGAGTGAACTCTCATTCACAATTGCTACAAAGAAAATAAAATACCTAGGAATACAACTTACAAGGGACATGAAGGAACTCTTCAAGGAGAACTACAAACCACTGCTCAAGGAAATAAGAAAGGACAAAAACAAATGGAAAAAACATTCCATGCTCATGGATAGGAAGAATCAATATCATGAAATGGCCATACTGCCCAAAGTTATTTATAGATTCAATGCTACTCCCATCAAGCTACCATTAACTTTCCTCATAGAACTAGAAAAAACTACTTTAAATTTCATATGGAACCTAAAAAGAGCCCGTATGGCCAAGGCAATCCTAAGCAAAAAGAACAAAGTTGGAAGCATCATGCTACCCGACTACAAGGCTACAGTAACAAAAACAGCATGGTACTGGTACCAAAACAGATATATAGACCAATGGAACAGAACAGATGCCCCAGAAAAACACCACACATCTACAACCATCTGATCTTTGACGACCCTGAGAAAAACAAGCAATAGGGAAAGGATTCCCTATTTAATAAATGGTTCTGGGAAAACTGGCTAGCCATATGCAGAAAACAAAAACTGGACCCCTTGCTTACATCTTTTAACTCAAGATGGATTAAAGACTTAAAAGTAAAACCTAAAACCTTAAAAATCCTAGAAGAAAACCTAGGCAATATCATTCAGGACAGAGGCCTGGGCAAAGACTTTATGACTAAAACACCAAAGGCAATTACAACAAAAGCCAGAATTGACAAAT
This sequence comes from Homo sapiens, assembly GCF_000001405.40. Classification (NCBI taxonomy): domain Eukaryota; kingdom Metazoa; phylum Chordata; class Mammalia; order Primates; family Hominidae; genus Homo; species Homo sapiens. The sequence continues at coordinate 181,016,993 of NC_000005.10, forward strand.
GAGATCTAATTAAACTAAAGAACTTCTGCACAGCAAAAGAAACTATCATCAGAGTGAACAGGCAACCTACAGAATGGGAGAGAATTTTTGCAATCTATCCATCTGACAAAGAGCTAATATGCAGAATCTACAAGGAACTTAAACAAATTTACAAGAAAAAAAAAAAAACAACCCCATCAAAAAGTGGGCAAAAAGAAGACATTTATGCAGCCAACACACATATGAAAAAAAGCCCAACATCACTGGTCATTAGAGAAATGCAAATCAACACCACAATGAGATACCATCTCATGCCAGTTAGAATGGCAATCATTAAAAAGTCAGGAAACAACAGATGCTAAAGAGGATGTGGAGAAATAGGAACGCTTTTACACTGTTGGTTGGAGTGTAAATTAGTTCAACCATTGTGGAAGACAGTGTGGTGATTCCTCAAGGGTCTAGAACCAGAAATACCATTTGACCCAGCCATCCCATTACTGGGTATACACCCAAAGGATTATAAATCATTCTACTATAAAGACACATGCACATGTATGTTTACTGCAGCACTATTTACAATAACAAAGACTTGGAACCAACCCAAATGCCCATGAATGATAGACTGAATAAAGAAAATGTGGCACATATACACCACGGAATACTATGCAGCCATAAAAAGGAATGAACTCATGTCCTTTGCGGGGACATGGATGAAGCTGGAAACCATCATCCTCAGCAAACTAACACAGGAACCAAACACTGCACATTCTCACTCATAAGTGGGAGTTGAACAATGAGAACACATGGACAGAGGAAGGGGAACGTCACACACCAGGGCCTTTCAGGGGGTGGAGGGGGAAAGGGGAGGGAGAGCATTAGGGCAAATATCTAATGCATACGGGGCTTAAAACCTAGATGATGGGTTGATAGGTGCAGCAAACCACCATGGCACATGTACACCTACGTAAGGAACCTGCATGTTCAGCACATGTATCCCAGAACTTAAAGTAAAATTGTTTTTAAAAAAGTTTTTTTAAATTATTCCAAGTAAAAAGAGACAGACTCCCTCCCAAGATATTGTCTGACTCAATTTACGTTAAAACTCTAGAAAATACAAACTAGTTTATAGTGACATAGGGCAAATCAGTACTTGCTTGAAGGGGAGATTAGTGTAGGAGGGATTACAAAGGGCAAAAGGATGATGTGGGGCATGATGGATATGTTTACTATTTTGTTAGTGGATGGTTCATGGACATCAGTTAAATACTTTATATGTATACAGCTTATTTTATCTCAGTTATTCTCCTGTTTTAAAAATAAATTATTAAACACTAATAACAACTGAAGGGAGATCTGGTTGATCATAGTGATTGGTATTAGCTAAACACTGTCCTTTCAGTGCTATGATTATATCTTTGTTTTAATAGACTTCATTTTTTAGAGTAGTTTAAGATTCACAGAAAAACTGAGCAGAAAGTACAGAGTTCTCATATACTCCTTGCCCCCACATGTATACCTCCCTCACCATCAACATCCTGTACCACAATGGTACATTTGTCACAATTAGCGAGCCTATATGTATACATTATTATCACTCAAAGTCCACTGTTTCCATTATACTCTTGGTGCTGTACATTGTATGGATTTTGACAAATGCATAATGATGTGTATTTGCCATTATCGTATTATATAGAGTACTTTCATTGCCCCAAAAATATTCTGTGCTCTGCCTATTCATCTGTCCCTCACCATGAATCTCTGGCAACCTCTGATCTTTCTACTGTCACCAAAGTTTTGCTTTTTCCAGAATATCATAGTGTTGGAATCATAGAATATGTAGCCTTTTCAGATTGGCTTCTTTCACTTGGTAATATGAACATTCACTTTTTAACCATAGTACTGTATTTGATATACAGCTACATATGTAATTATTTTATTTCAAGTCTATGTTTGTGAGCCCCTGGTTAGCTGAGTGTAGACATTCTCAAGAGGGGGAAAGGGATGTGGCCTTTTGTGTAGCATCTCAGGAAGACACTAGGTGGGAAGAGGTGATCAACCCATCAGTCCTCAGCCCCAGGGAGTGATGTAGTGAAAATTCACAGGGTTTTACAAGAAGAAAACCCTGTGAATGGTTTTCCTGTTATTGGACGATGGGGAGGAGATCTCCCCATAACTGCAAGAAAATGTCTAATTGCAGCTATAGATAGAATACTACTCAGTAATAAAAAGGAGCAAACTCTCGATACATACGACAGTCTGGATGAATTTTACGGACATTTTATTGAGTGAAAAAAGTCAGTCTCAAAGGTTACATAATGTATGATTCCAAAATGATAAAACTACAGAGATGGAGGAAACATAAGTTGTTGCCAGGGATTAGTGAAGCGGATGGAGGGTTTGACCATAGTGGTACAGCATGACGGAGTTCTTACATGGTGATGGAGCAGCATCTTGATTATGATGGTGGTTTTATGAATCTATACATGTAATAAAATTGTGAAAAACTACAGACATACATATGTTATAATGAGCACATATATGAACTAGTAAAATATGAATTAGGCCTGTAATCCAATTAATTGTATCAATGTCAATTTCCCAATTTTGGTCTTGTTCCATAGCTATGTCTGATATTACCATTGGAGAAAGCTTACTTGGAGGTACTCAAGACTCTGTATTATTTTTGCAACTTCCAGTGAGTCTAAAATTGTTTTAAAATAAAAACTATCATTTAAAAAGCAACTTTAAGTGTACAATTATCTCCAAATGAAAAGCTTAATGAAAAACATGATTCATCGGTGTTTCAGTTCATTATAATGGCAGTGGAAACCAGGAAATGTGAAACAGTTTCAGAGATTCAACTAGTGTTAGCACACATCAAATAGTAATGAAACAAGGCTTTTAAAAAATCCCTAACTTCCAATATTAGAGCAATTATCTTTAATCATAACTGAAGGATGTCATTCACTGTGCCACCCAAAGTAAATAAGGACGAAAATTATGAATAAGAAACAGTAAAAAGTTAATATTACATAATATGGTAGTCAAAATAGAACCAATGAGTGCCAATATAATGAACCTCTCCCCTCAAAAATCCCAACCTCCATGTTGCTTTTCATAACAAAGGTGAATAAAACAAATCAAAGCAGCTATATACAGGAACACAGGTCCTGGTGGCTGTTACTGAGACCCAGGATAGTGTCAGGGTCAAATCTCTGTAGAAATTAGCTATTGGAGGCTCTAAGGACCCTGCCTCCTGGGGCCTTCCTCTGAGTTTTCCCCTTAGGGTAGTGGGTAGGGAGCTGTGTTGTAGGTCCCAAATCAGGAGTTAGGCTAGAGAGCGATATCAGCAAGATGGCAGAATAGGAAGTCCCATGCTTCACTTCTCCCCCAACATAAAGTTCAACTAGAAACCATCCACAGACAAGAACACCTCTGTGAAAACTCCAAAACTTGGGAATGAGCCTGAGACAACTATGTGGACCACAGAGCCAAATAAAAACCATATTAGAAGGGTAAGAGGTATGGTCTCGCTTTGACCACGTTGCTCCTCCCCCTCCCCCAACTCCACACAGCACCACACAGAGAAGATTCACTTTGATGCGTAATTTCTACAGTGAGAAGAGGGCCAGAGGCAGACATCCAGCTTCCCTAGCATTCTAAAATGCTTCCCAGGAGGCCTACCACTCTGGCCCTTTCTCACGGGGAACACTGAAAGTATGGGCAAGACTAGACTGTCGTGGGTCAGGTGGAAACAAAGAAGTGAAGCAGAGGTCACAGTGATGGTAACATGGATTGTTCGGGTAGCTCTGTGTTCCTGCCAGTGATGGTGCCCAGTCAGAAGTGCCAGCCAATGGCAGAATCCACCCACAAACCTCAGCTAGTTTCTCCCAGAAGTTGTTCAAACTGGCTTGAGTACCTAGATGGCCAGCCTCCGTGACCAGCCTCAGCCCATGCCAAGGCCTTACTCAGGCATGAAAATTTCCACCACAGTGTGTTTAGGCAAAGCACAAGGGCCACATGTACTTGACATGAGAGGCCAAACAGACACTTGACCCAGCTACAAAGCCCACCCAAGGCTCTGCCCAAGCAGGGAGATACCTGCCACCACACATTTTTACAGAGCACAGGGGCTGGACCTGCCCAACACAGGAGACCACAGAGCAGTTTGAACCAACCCCAGAGCTCACCCCAAAGCTGGAGAGCAAGCCCATATCATGCATGTTTACTGAGCACAGCCTCTAGTCTAGTTCATCCTGAGCAGCATTCTGCCTTGCCTTTGGGTCCATCCTGCAGTCCTGTCCAACTGCAGAACTCAAATAGCAAAACTGCTTGGCCAGGGAATATATGCTGTGACCTGGCCTCATTAGTGGTAACTGCAGTGCCCAGTCAGCAGTTCCACGTGATCGCAGAGCCTAGCCAGTGGTCTCGCTGGACAGTAGAGCCCAGCCAGGAGCCCCACTTGACCTCAGATAAAAGGCATCAGCCCACCCAACTAGAGAACTCAACAGCAAGCTCTACCTGCCTGTGGTCACTACCAGCTGGCCCATCCAGAATCACAGGCTAAACTAAACAGTGAAGGTTAATTCCTGTGAATGAATACCTGTAAAGGCTGGAAGAGGTGGCAGTCTCCTCAAATGTACAGATGCCAACACGGGGACATAAGGATTAGAAAGAGGGAAGCATGAACTATAAAGGAATGTAGATTTATGTAATGACTGGCAAAAAAAATCAGGACAATTCTCTTAAAGAATTTCAATGAACTATAAGAATATACAGATAAAAAATTAAATAAAATTTGGAAAAAATAGATCAATAAACCAAGAAATAGAAACAATTTTTAGAAACCAAATATAAATCCTAGAGATTAAGAATACAATGACTGAACCAAAAAAAGTCAACAGAAAACTTCAACAGCAGACTCAATCAGGGCAAATAAAGAACTGATGAGCTCAAAGACAGAAATTTTAAAAATTATCCAGTCAGAAGAGCAAAAAGAAAAAGAATAAAAATGAAGAAAGACTACATGAGTTATAGAATACCATCAAGAAAACTAATTTTTGCATAATAGGAGTTGCAGAAGAAGAGAAATAAAAAAGATGAGAAAAAATGTTACGAGAAATAATGGCTAAAAACATCCCAAATCTGGGAAGAGATACCAACATTCAGGTACAGGAAGCTCAGGGGTCCCCAATTAAATTTAAACTGAAGAAGAGTTCACCAAGACACATAATAGTCAAACTACCAAAAAGCAAAGGAAAATTCAAAGCAAAGAGATTAGAAACATACCACATACAAGGAAATATCAATACAGCCATCAGCAGATCTCTCAGCAGAAATACTGCTGAGGAGAGAGTGGGATGATACATTCAAAATGAAGAAAAAATAACCAAGAATACTTTACCCAGCAAAGTTGTCCTTTAGAAATGAGGGAGTGGCCTTTCGTTTCAGTGTAAAGCACTCTCTTTCCTGTAAGTCAGGCATAGTAGTGATAAATTCTCTTAGCTTTTGTTTGTCTGGGAAATATTTTATTTCTCCCTCATTTCTAAAGGACAACTTTGCTGGGTAAACTAGTCTTGGTTATTTTTCTTCACTTTGAGTGTATCATCACACTCTCTCCTAAGGCACAGTAGTGATGAATTCTCTTAGCTTTTGTTTGTCTGGGAAAGATTTTATTTCTCTCTCATTTCTAAAGGACAACTTTTCTGGGTAAAGTATTCTTGGTTATTTTTTCTTCACTTTGAATGTATCATCCCACTCTCTCCTCAGTAGTGTTTGTGCTGAGAGATCTTTCCCAGACAAACAAAAGCTAAGAGAATTCATCACTACTATGCCTGACTTACAGGAAAGAGAGTGCTTTACACTGAAATGAAAGGCCACTGATGAATACCATAAAACACATGAAAGCACAAAACAATGGTACTGGTAACCGAGTCATATTCAGAAAACTCTAGGACTAGAAAGGTGGTGTTAAAGCAATTTTATCTCTAGTATGACGGTTAAGAGACAAAACTATTAAAAAATAAATTGTTAAGGAATACAAATTACAAGATTACATAAATTCTGATATCAAAAGATAAAATGTGTGTGTGTAGGGGACAAAAATGTACAACTGTTAGATATTTTAGTTAAACCTCATGATAACCACAAAGCAAAAACACATAGTAGATGCACAAAACAAAACATAAATAGGATTCAGAGTATACCACTACAAAAGAACTATAAAACTACAAAGGGAGACTAAAAAAGAAAGAAAGAAAAAAAGGATCTACAAAACAAAAATTACAAAACGGTAATAGTAAATACTTAACAGTATTTACTTTGAATGAAAATGAATTAAATTCTCCATTCAAAAAAAGTAATGGCTGAATGAATTTTTTTAAAAAGGCCCAACTATATACTGTGCTATAGTTTAAATGTCCCTGCCAAAATTCATGTTGAAACTTAATTGCCATTGTAACAGTGTTAAGTGATGGGACTTTTAAGGGGTGATTAAGTCATAAGGACTCTCTGGTCTCATGAATAGATTAATGCAGCTATTTTTAAAAATTTATAATTGCCTTGTCTTATGGTTCTGAGATTAATGCTATTATCACAGGAGTGGATCAGTAATCACAGCAGTGAGTTCCTGATAAAAAGGATGAGTTCAAAAGATGGTTTGCTAGAGGACCCTAATGCCTGTACTCCCCACACCAAAAAAAAAAAAAAAAAACAGGACCCAAATGATGAATAAATAACTACACTTGCACTGTAGTGTATAAGGGAGAATGCTGGCGTACAGCAGGAAAAGACAGGAAACATGATGTAACTAGACCGTTTGGAAGGGCTGCATAGAAGCAAAATGAGGACACTCAGCCTCTGCTACACTGTCTTCCCAGCCAGGATTAACTCAAAAAAAAAGGCACTTCCCCCAGCAGGAAAAAGGTAACCAGGAGGCCCCCAGGAATCCCCACTGATATCACAGATACCTGCAATCTTTGCTGCTAGAGAATCCTGCAGCGCCCACAGGCCCTGAGCCCCGTTGGGGGAGCTGCCTGGCATCCCTGAACTGCACTACCCCAGAGAAGGAGCCCACATTGTAGCCCACTCCCTAACACATTACCAAAGCTGCAGCTGTATGGCACCATCTTGATACTGGATCCACAGCCACAGTGCATCCTGCTGCAGGAGCCTGTAACCACTGCACCTTTTCATCTCTGAGGGTATGCAGCCATTACATCATGTTTACACATAGTACTGCACCATTCCCCAGCCAAGCTTCTACAGGTTACTACTTCCTGGGAATAAGCTACCAAGGAGGTGCCCCACCTTCTGCATCCTAATGACTGCAGAGCCCCAACTTCAGCTCTTCAGAACCTAGGCCCAGCACCCCAGCACCAGAATCCACATGACACTCTGCCTGTAAAAGTAGAGACAATCCTGCTCAGCAAAGAAGCTGAGTCTTTACCAGCTGTGTACACATTCAGCACACTCAGTAGCCAGGTGAGCTGGTGAATCTGAGCCAGGAGGCCCTCATGTATCCTGGTGCAATCACCAGTCTGGTGCACCACTTCTAGGGGGACCTCATCCCCAAACTGGCAAACTAGCTCCTGCATGCCACCTGCATGTTCACCAACTGTGCACATCACTTCCAGGGGGACCCCACCCCAAGCCAGCAAATGGCATATGGATCCCCATATGCCACCACCATGCTCACCAGCCAAACATGCCACTTCCACGGGAGCCTGGCCCTGAGCCAGTAAATTGGCCCCCATGCACTGCAGGCATACTCATCAGGCCAGTGTGCTGCTCCCAGGGAAGCCCTGCTATGAGCCAGCAGACCTGTCAATGCATGCAGCCAGCATGTTCACCAGCCAGGCACTCCACCCAGGGGAGCCTGGCTATGAGCTGATGGACCTGTCAATGCCTGCAGCCATGTGCTCATCAGTCAAGTGAACCACTCCCAAGAAAGCCCCACCCCAAGCCAGCAGATCAGCCCCTGTGCACCACTAGCACACTCACCAGCCAGGGTGTTGCATCCCTGGTGGTCCCAATCATAGGCAGGTTGGCCCCTGCACTTACTGGTGAGGCACACAACTCCCAGGCAATCCCCATTCAGATCTGGCAGACCAGCTGCGTAAACTTCTGCAGCCTAGACCACTACAGCTGAAAAACTGCACAGAGACTACTGCGCCCATTCAAAACCAAAGCCAATGAACCCTACCCAAATGACACTCTAAGACATATCTGCAGGCAAAACTTTCCCTGCAAAAGCCACTCCATAATATCAGAGAAGGCAACCATTGCACCAGATCCACAGGTGTTAATGCAGGGACACAGGAAACATGAAAAAGGAAACATGAAGTCAATGAAAGAGGACAATAATTCTCTAGTAACTGACCCCGAAGAAATGGAAAGTTATGAATTGCCTGAAAAGGAATTCAAAATAATGATCTTAAGAAATGCAGTGAGAAGCAAGAGAATACAGATAGACAATAAAATGAAAAAATAAGCTATGACCTGAATAGAAAATTCAACAGAGATAGAAATCATAAAGAACCAAATAGAAATCTTGGAACTGAAGAATTCGATGACAAAAAAAAAAAATGTAATTGGGAGCTTCACAACAGGCTATATCAAACAGAAGGAAGAATTTCTAAACTCAAAGACAGGTCTTTTTTTTTTTTTTAATCATACTTTAAGTTTTAGGGTACATGTGCACAACGTGCAGGTTTGTTACATATGTATACATGTGCCATGTTGGTGTGCTGCACCCATTGAAGTAACCTAGTCAGAGGAATGAAAAAGGAAAAAAAATGAAAAAGAACAAAGAAAGCCTACAGGACTTAAATGACTATTAAGCAAAGAAACTTTTGCATTATGAGAGTTCTAGAGGAAGAAGAGATGGTGAAAGGCACAGAAAGCTTATTTAACAAAATAATAGATGAAATCTGCCCAAGCCTTGGAAGAGATATGAACGACCAGACCCATAAATCTTAAAGGACCCTTTATAGATTCAATCCAAATGGATCTTTGAGGTATATTATATTCAAACTGTCAGAAATCAACAACAAAGACAGAGTTGTAAAATCAGCAAGAGAAAAGTAACAAATTACATATAAGGCAAGCTACAATAGACTGTCAGCGCATTTCTTAGCAGAAATCTTGCAGAATAGGAGGGAAAGGGATGATTTATTCCAAGTGCTAAAAGAAAAATGTTAGCCAAGAATAATAGACCCAGCAGAGATATACCTCAGAAATAAAGTATTTCCCAGACAAGCAAAAGCAGAGAGAATTCATCACCACAAGACTGGCATTACAAGAAACGTTTAAGAAAGTGCTTCATCAGCCGGGCACGGTGGCTCACTCCTGTAATCCCAGCACTTTAGGAGGCCAAGGCGGGAGGATCACGAAGTCAGGAGATCGAGACCATCCTGGCTAATACGGTGAAACCCCATCTCTACTAAAAATACAAAAAATTAGCCGGGAGTGGTGGCGGGTGCCTGTAGTTCCAGCTACTTGGGAGGCTGAGGCAGGAGAAGGGTGTGAACCCGGGAGGCAGAGTTTGCAGTGAGCAGAGATCACGCCACTGCACTCCAGCCTGGGCAACAGAGCAAGACTCCATCTCAAAAAATAAATAAATAAATAAAGTGCTTCATCTGGAAGTGAAAGGACAATAACTACTAACATGAAAACATATGAAGGTATAATCCTCACTGGTAGACATAAATTAATAATCAAATTCAGAATACTATATTACTGAAATGGAGATCTTTCAGATCTCCAGTATAAAACATCAAAACGATCAGTGATAACTATAAATTGTTAAGGAACACACAGTATAGAAAGATCTAAATTGAAGCCACAAGATTATCAATTGTGAGAGAGGAAAAGTCTAGAGTATTTGTGACAAAAGTTAAGTTGGTATCAGTTTAAAAGTCTATTAAAACTGGAAGATTTTTATGTAAGTCC